>NC_000013.11:69620227-69771742 GCF_000001405.40 Homo sapiens
ATGAATGCTGTTAGTCACAAGAGGAAAAGTATATCAGGATATGAGTGGATTGTTTTCATATTCATGAAAGCTATTAGAAAAATAAGGTGTCTTTTCCATTAATAAAATGTCACTCTTCCATTAGGTGGAAGATGTGGAAAAATTATCCAGATATTAGATTAAAATGATTTATTTATTAAAAATATTTACTGTTGACCTACTTTGTGCCAACATTGTTTTAGGTGGTGGTTGGATAAAGACTAAGAAACAATCCCTGTCCTTATGGAGTTCACAGTATGAAAGGGATGAAAGAAATACAATTAGTCTGCCAAATAACAAAAATGCATGACATGTGCCATTAGGAAAGGAAGAAATTACAGTGATTCAGATTAGAGAGTGACTGAAGCCAACTAACTCTGGATAATGTGTTCAAGGAAGACCTCTCAGAACTTTATTTTGAACCTGAGGGAATAGAAAGATGAAAGCAGTAGGAAAACAGTTCCAATCTGAAGGTAAATGCTGTGCAAAGACTCTTATATTGCAGGAAACTTGGAATAGTATTGAATCAGAAAGCAGCCAGTGTGTCTGGAGCATTGTGCTTAGAGATTACGTTGGGGTGCTCTCCAGCGTCCAGAAGATATAGGGCTATATAGGTGATAATGTTACCGGAAAGGGGTCCTGATCCAGACCTAACCCCAGCAGAGGGTTTTTGGACTTCGCACAGGAAAGAATTTGGTGCTAGTCCATAGAGTAAAATGAATGCAAGTTTACTAAGAAAGTATAAGACTGGTTATTCCATAGGTAGAGCACCCTCAAGGGCTGCTTATTGGCTATTTTTATGGATATTTCCTGATTATATGCTAAACGATGGGTTGATTATTTATGAGTTTTCCAGGAAAGGGGTGGGCAATTCCCAGAACTGAGGGTTTCTCCTCTTTTTAGACCACATAGGGTAACTTCCTGACATTGCTATAGAAATTGTAAACTGTCATGGCCCTGGTGGGAGTGTCTTTTAGCATGACAATCATTATAACTAGCATATAATGAGCAGTGAGGATGACTAGAGGTCACTTTCATGGCCATCTTGGGTTTGGTGGGATTTGGTCGGTTTCTTTACTGCATGATAGTTTATCAGCAAGGTCTTTGTGACGTGTATCTTGTGCCAACCTCCTATCTCATCATGTGACTAAGAATGCCTAATGTCCTGAGAATGCACCTCAGTAGACCTCAGCCTTATTTTACCCAGCCTCTATACAAGATGGAGTTGCTCTGGTTTGAACACTTCTGACAATAGTAAAAAATGTCAGTTATTTTCCAAGTACAATACATATTAAGCAAGTGGATAACATGATACAATTTATGTTTTAGAAAGATCCATCTGCTTTTTGCATAATGTGTTGAAGAAGGATAGGAGAAAGTAGAGGGCAGAACTAGAATCCTATGGCAGTTGCCCAAGTGAGAACCAATCATTTTTAACTGACAGTGTTAAAGAAAAATAAATCTCAGGACCGGAAAATCACTAAGCCAAGAGAAAAGTCAAGCTGGCAACTATGTCAGGCAAACCGGCCTCCCATTTTATTCCTAAACAAGATAGCTATCAAGATAAAAAGCTACATACCTTCCCCACAATTTGCCCACAAGGAAATTCCTTGTGGACAGAGGACAGACAGAACTCAAAGTCATCCCATTGAGGCTCACCTGAGACAAATGCATAGCTGATTGCTTCCTCTGTCCTATGGTTTATGTAAAATGTAAACTCCCTGAGCCACACTAAATTGTGTATTCAGCGAAAGGCTGATCAAGGACTCAAAAGAATGCAACCTTTTGTCTCTTACCTACCTATGACCTGGAAGCCCCTGCCTTAAGTTGTCCCACCTTACCAGATCAAACCAATTTACATCTTACACATAATGATTGATATCTCATGTCTCCCTAAAATATATAAAAGCAAACTATACCCCTGACCACCTTGGGTACATGTTACCAGGACCTCCTGAGGCTATGTCAGGGGCATGTCCTTAACCTAGGCAAACTAAACTTTCGAAATTGATTGAGACCCGTCTCAGATAACTTTTGGTTTACAAAAGATGTTAGGGTTTATGACTGCTTTTCTTCTAACTTCAATCTGATTTTTGATTAATTAGATACAGCTTGATGCATTAGGGCTGTGCAAGGACGTCGCAATGATGTTGAACCACATGTTCACATTGATTAAAAAGCATGAGTGAGCTTCTCCAATTTTTAATTCCATACCAGAAGTTACTCCAACATCATAGGTAATCTGGTGTAATGATTTTAAAACTGCATTTAGAACTACTGAATCGGAGCTAAATGGATATGTACTTTAATCTTTATCTAAAAACTTGGCACAAATACCACTTATAAGATATAGGAAGTTTATTTAATACATGACAATGTATTTAGTCAAATATATTCAGTAGGTTCAGATGGATATAAATAAATATAAAGTAAATGTTAAAAGTTGTCATTAAAAGAAAAATTTTTATTAAAACAAAATTTTAAAATCTAAATAATTTTTATTTTATTAAAATGGCCCTGTTGGGACATTTTATTTTATTTTAATAAAATAAAAATTTTATTAAAACAAATACATAAATGAAGATTGTACCTAAATTTCTTGGCTTGTATTTTTTGTTTGCTTGTTTTGCCATGACTCACAGTAATTTTATATTTTCGATATTATCTTCTCATTTTTATTGTTAAAATTAAAAATTCACTTGGTGAATTTCTCTATTGTTGCTTTATTTTAATTCTATAGTAAACAGTTCAATTTACAATGAATTCCTTAGCTATTGATGTGCAAATTATACCACTGGATATATTCATTCTAAGGAAAATTAACATAAGAGTATGAAATTTTTGCATAATGAATCACATAATCATTTAACAAAACTCTTTAACAACAACTGACTTTCCTTTTTCACAATGATACAATAGTTTTAGCTGTTTGTCAAATTGAAAGATTAGAAAGAAAAAAGATTGAATTACTGGGAAAGCCCTAGCCAATAACATGGTAACAAAATGATATATATGGTGTTACAAATAAATCAGTCTGGCAGTTTTAAATTCTAAAACTATTTTTGAAAACACCAAATGCTCCATGAGTCTTTCTTTCATGGACAGGCTGGTGAATATTATAGAGCCTTAAATTCCTTCAAGTAGACCCTGCTTAAAAGCAGATGACATTTTCTTAAGCCCTCTGTTTGGAGCGGGTCTTCTTTCTTAGCAAAACAATCACTGAAGCTGACCTTAATAGTCAGCTATGACTATTTCCATACAGCTATGAAGAAATACCAGAGACTGGGTAATTTATAAAGAAAAATAGGTTTAAGGGACTCACAGTTCCACCTGGCTGGGGAGGCCTCACAAACACAGCAGAAGGTGAAGGAGGAGCAAAGGCACATCTTACATGGTGGCAGGCAAACAGAGCATGTTCAGGGGAACTGCCCTTTCTAAAACCATCTGATCTTGTGAGACTTATTCACTATCATGAGAACAGCATGAGAAAAACCCACCCCTATGATTCAATTACCTCCCACTGGGTCCCTCCCATGACACATGGGGATTATGGGAGCTACAATTCAAGATGAGATTTGGCTGTGGACACAGTTTCCATAACAAGTACCTAGAATCTAAAGTCGTGTATTCCAAATGCTCAAGGCCCCTTCCCTGTTTATGGGCTTAGATTGTTAGATAGCATGATATAAAATGGTGATTTTTTTAATCTAAAATTATTTAGATATGTTAAAAAACATTATGTTCCAGGTTGAAAGACAGAAACCTGATATGAGGGCAACTATCCATTTTAGATGGCATCTAAGACATATTCTTGTACCTATCACTGGACCAGAACCTATATATATGTCAAGAGGAAAGGGTAGTATCTCTTGTGAACCTGAATAATGGATTCTTCCTTGTTATTTGTACTTTTTTGTCACATCAGCACACTTGCAACCCTGTGCTATAGAACTTGAATGAACTTACATATAATCCATGTGGGTAACAAGGAATGAAGAAGCTTTACTTACCTTGTTCTCCTTTTGTTGGTTTGAAGCTATATTCTGTCTGAAATGATCCAGAGGAGGCAGTGGAGAATATATTCTGCAATATAAGAAATAAGAAAGGGGAGATTTCTAAAAATCCTACACACAGTAAAAGAATAATAAAAGAATGCTGTGAACAGCTGTGGACAAATTACTGTAAATACATTTGACATCATCTATGAAATGGACAATTTCTTTGAAAAACTACTAAATCTCACTCAAAAAGAAATATTTAATATATTGTATAAATAGCCCTATATTTATCAAATAAATTGAATTTATAGTTAAATATTTTCTAATAAAAAACTTGAGGCCTAGATGGCTTCAATGGTGAGCTTCCCCAAGCATTTGAGGGAGAAATAATACCAATTTATGTAAATGCTTCCAGTTGATTGAAGATGAGTGAATACTTTTTAACTTACTCCTATAAGGCTATCAATATTATAGGATAAAATTAGACAAAATATAACACAAGAAAATATGACCATGGATTCAAGAATTCTCAGCATAATTTTAGCAAAACAATTTCAACATTTAATCATGATTTAGTGGAGTTTATCTCAGAAATCCAAACATGGTTTAAAATTTTTAAAAAGATAAACAATGCAAATCACCATATTAAAAGACTAAAAATGAAAAATGATTTGATCATCTTAATATATGCAGAAAAAGTTTTTACAAAACCCAACATTTATTCATGGCAAAACTCTCAGCAAAATAGGAAAAAAAATAAATATACACAACCTGATAATGGGCATTCAGAACAAACATGTAGCTAAAATTAGACTTCATGGTGAAAGGCTGAGTAAATTTCTCCTAAGATTGTAAACAATATGAGAATGTCTAGTTTTACTGTTTCATTGTCTGAATTTTATTAGATAGCATGCATGATTCTTGTACAACTTTATTATAATTAAAGCACAATAAATCATTAATACTTAAAGTGTGCAATTTTATATGTTTACACTTGTATCTTGAAATTATCATCCCAATAAAAAAAATGAACAGATCCATCACCCACAAAAGTTTCCTTCTATCTCTTTGTTATCCTTTTCTGTCTCCCAACCCATCTATATGCAAACACTAATGTGTTTTCTGTCATAGATTAATTGTGTTCTCTTGGTGAATTAACCCTTTATCATTATAAAATGACTTATTTTCTTCTGGTAATATTATTTTCTCTGAACTATTCCCTGTCTGATATCAATATGCCTATTCAGCATCCTGTTGATTAGCATTACCATGATAGTTTTTTCTATAATTTTACTTTTAACGTATTTGTTTTTTATATTTAAAGTTAATTACTTGTTGGTAGTATTTAGGTTTTGCTTTCTTAAAAAAATTTATTCTGACAATCTCTGTCTCTTAATTAAAATATTTAAGCCTCAGTTTTATATGGTTGTGGATATGGTTGGCTTAAATATATCATTTTGCTGTTTTCTGCTCCTTGTTTTCACCTGCTCTTTGTTCTCCTTTTGGTCTTTTCCAGACTTGTTTTACATAACTAAGAAAAATTATGTGTATCCCTCCATTTACCTTTTCTAGTGTTCTTTATTGTTCCATGTAGATACAGATTTTCATGTATTATTCTCCTTCTGCTTGAAGGACATTCACATTTCTTATAGTAAAGATCTGCTGGTGATGAAACTTAACTTTTGCATACCTAAGTCAGTCTATATTCTATTTTTGTTTTCCAGGGATATTTTTTGTGCATATTGATTTCTAGGCAACTGTATTCTTTAGGGCTTTAATGTTGTTCTGCTGTCTTCTGGCTGGCATTGTAGTTTCTGATGAGGAATCTGTAGTCATTTTTATCTTTGTTTTCCCATAATTTTGTTCTATGACACACTTATGTTATTGGAAACAGTTTTATCCTTTAAAGGCTTGGTTTTAAGTTTAGTTAGGCAGGCACAGAGTAGCTATTATATTAGAGTAAAATTTGACTCACTATGGAAACAACATCCTTCTGAATATTCTACCCAATATTTCCTGTTTTATTGACGTTTTTATTCTGGCTGGTGAGAACACAAATACTTCCTAGCCATGTGTGAATGTCAGGAATTGTTCCACTTGCTCTTTCTAGAGATTCTTCACCAAAGCTCCCGACATTTTGCTATGCATATTCTCTGATTTTGGTCAATGTAAGACTCAACGGGATCTCCCTGCAAATCTCTAGATTCTTCTCTCTCTCTCTCTGTGTGTGTGTGTGTGTGTGTGTGTGTGTGCGTGCGCATGTGTGCGTGTAAGTCTTTCCCCTCTGGAGTTCTGCCCTACGAATTATAGCTGCCATGTTCTCCTCAAGTTCTACCACTGTCCCTTCAACTCAAGTGGCTACCAGGCTTTGTTTATATTTCTACTCGTACTGCAGACTAGAATCTCCATTTGTTTCTCTTCCTTCAGATATCATAGCCCTCTGTTGCCTTTTGTCTCATTTCTGAAAACTGCTGCTTTATGTACTTGGTCTAGTTCTTTGCTTGCCTAGGTCAGGAGGGTAAAATCATCCTCTATTGCCCCTTCATGGCTGAAAGCAGAAGGTAGCATACATTGTTTTCATAGTTAGACAAAATATAAAATATAAACTTATTACCTTCTTGATACAATTGAAAATCCGTGGGTTAGTGAAAGTATTTTTTTCTAAAACATGTTTTGGAGATAGGGAACCTGACCAGAATTACAATTCAGTGTCTACTGTCCATTTTCTTTTGATTTATATGGGATAACTAGCATCAACACACAGATTCTCATTGTGCTTCCAGAGACTAGAGAATTCAGGTCATTATTAAGAAGACCATAATTTTAATGTACTAAATATAGATATGGATAAATGTGGTAAATATATCAATAAGACTCCTTAAAATTTTTAAGAATTCTTTTTTGTTTAATTGAATATGGTTGTGGAAGAGAACAGTTTAACCTGCAGATAAATCTATACAATAATTTTCTACCAATGCTATTACAATAACACAGACTTTATGAAGAATAAGAATGGAGGAAGTAAATGTACTTGAGAAAGTGTTTATGGACTTAGATGCCTATATAGCATTGGTAGATAATGAGTAATTGTAACAAAAGAACTAGAAAGAAAAGGAGAGAATAAAAGTCAAAATAAGCAAACACAATTTATATTTTATCAATGTCCTGAGATCATGATCACTGAAAAGTATATGCTTATTAAATTAAACTTAGTTCCTAGATTGCAAAAGGCAAGGGTGGATGGAGTTCCAATGTTAGCAGATTTTGGAAGAGGAAAACTCTGGAAAGAGTTTGGCCAAAATAATTAAAGGACAAGTTTATGAAAGAAAAGATAATAATTGTTTATCTCTGAGACTCTGATGAAAGTTATCTGTCATAACAGTTTAACATAATTGATAGTTTCCCTGAATTCACATCTATATATTTTTACCACTTTTTGCAATATAATTAACCCTGAACTGAAAAATAAGTAATAATTTAAAATAACTATTTTACTACATATGAGGAGCTCTACTGTCTTTATATTTTAGGGTCAAATAAAGCTGATATATCAAAGAGATCCTGAATAAAATGGAATAGACAATATAAAATTTAATGTCTCTCTCATTACAGTTTTAAATCAGTGGTCCATTTTTGCTCCATACAGACCCAAATTTCATTCAAGCAATCACTTCACAGTCCCATTTGGTGCTATTGTTGTTTTTATGGTTCAAGCCCACACATGGTTCTAATAATCCAGGAGAAGAAAGAGTACTTAGAGGAAGTATGTTTATGTCATGAGTCCTAGATCTGGAATTGGCAATGTTACTTCTGCTCATAGTCTACTGTTCAGAACTTAAGTCACCAGTGATGAGGAACTACAGGCCTATCTAGTTGAATTGCTTTATGCTAAGCCAAAATTTTATTGCAACAATAGAAAATGTATTATTTGATAATTATGACTTTCTACTATGATTCTACATGTCAAATCCCAAATTTATATTCTTCTTAAAAAATCTATAATCAAGGGATAAAACCTCAAATCAATTCAAAATCAATTTTCATCAAAGTTCATTTTCATCAACAGCTATGTCCATTTCACTCTGTATCCCACTTTTTAATCATAGCATTCTACTGGTAGAACTTAAATCACCCAAAACATTAGCTCCTCTCACCTACATGAAAATACCTCTAAAGATATATCCAAAATATTTCATTCACTCATTAAACAAATTTTCTGCAAACATTTATTGAGCTAGTAGAATACCACACTGGGCACTTGTCTAATCATACCAATTTTGAAAAAAAATGAGTCCTTTTGGACAAAGAGTTGGATGAAGGAACTCCTAAAGAGTCATATTTTACAGGGAGTCAATATGATTGAATATGAGTGGAAGAGGAGGATGAGGGTCCACTTTCTGCCAGTGTGAAAACGTGGTGCTATTCACCAAGAAGATATCAATGGTGGAAAAGGTTTCAGACAAATAATAACTTTCAGTTTTGTGATATTAACCTTGTGGTTCCTGTAAGACATTTGGGTAGATGCCTGGTTTATCAACTGAAATACAGTTTAAGAGCTCAGGATAGAGGTCTAATATAAAATCATAATTGTGAGCTTGTTATCATATCAGCGGAAATTCAATGATGCATGTCAGAAAGGCTATACAGGGATAGAACAGCCACTGAGCATCACACAACACTAAATTTAAACTACAGACAGAAAAAATCCAGTAAAAGAGAAAAATATGTCATAATCAGAGAATAGGAATAGATTGAGAAGATACAGATGCACCTTTAAGTTCCTTGAATATAAGTGCTGTGTTTGTCCATCTTTGCAACATAGTACATGGAACAAAGGGAGGATACAATAAATGTTGACTGAATTAAAAATGACTGTTCTGTGTGGTAATGTGTTGCACATAATTTTTGAAATATTGTAATCTTTTTCAAATTTTGTTAAAAGTCATAAATATTTTTGAAAAACAATGTATCTGCATTTCAAATTATCTCTTATAATGTATTTGAATAAATAAAATGCCACATTCTAAAGGTATGAACAAATGTTAAGACTGGTGATATAAATTGTCAAAAGCTTTCCAGAACTATTTTACCAATTTATATCTCCACTTTCTCTTAAGGCACAGGACCATTACAAGCATCGATATTTATCTTTTTATTTTTCTTTTAGCTAATTCAATAGGTAACTCATGTTTTCTGAATATATTGAGCCATTGATTCTGTGTTTCTATGTACCACCAGTGATTTTCACCATTCTATACTGAACCTAAATAGCTTACAATAGATATTACGTTCCGTTAATTTTGATATTTTTATAATGGGTTATTTTTATCAATATTATTTATGTGTTTTTTCCTACTTTGAGGTGGAACCTTCAATAAAGCCTAATGACAACTGCTATTACTCCACATATTTTCTCATATATTACATAAGTATACCCAAAAATCCAACCAAAATAATCACATTTTATTGATATTACTAGTTGTCTTCTTTTTAACACAAATAAATGTGTCTTTTCTCTTTTTCTTTTTTGTTATGATTTTCTTGCCTTTCCAAGTCAAATTCCACTCTAGAATGGGCTATTCAATGAATCTAAATTTAAGTATTAGAAAGTACACTCTCATTCCCTTCTATTATTTGTCTGTTATCCATTCTCATACTTGAATCCCCAGAACAAGTTAATTTAAGCAGAAAGAATTACTTACATGCCTTGAAAAAGATTGAGGAGCCAGGCTGATGCTTCCAGTAATACAGCAGATATATATGGAGGTCTATGTGTATAGGATTCTTTATATAAATTGATAGCTAAGTAGATTTTTACTGAAATCTACTATTTGCAACTCCACCCAATCCCCTGATTTATGTTTTGACTCTTCGACCAAGTTCCTCGCTATATTTTTATAATACATGTAATCAAAATAGTCAAATCAAAATAATATTTGATTTTAACTTAGTAATCTAACTGTAAGACCAATGTCTTTGACCATATATCTACTGGTGCTTGTTTTCAGTAATTCAAGAAATGGGAATGGGAGGCACATAGAAAGTAGTAGCACATATACTTCATGAGAGATGGTACTTTGTCTATTTTTATTTTTAGTGCCTATTGAAGACCAAACGCAGTATTTTCTCAATAAACAAAATGAAAGATTGTTTTATGAAGTGACGAGTTTTAATGAGAAATTTAGCATCAAGAAAAAGATAAAATAGAAAGAATGCCTAGTTCTCCAAGGCTTTTCATATTTCTATGTTCTTGTATTCCTTCCTTCCCATTCTCTTACTCTCACAGTTGGTTTGTCACCAACTTTAGAATATGGCAGTAGGAGTGCTACGTTATAAGTATTTTGTTCAACTGTTTTAAATTATTTTAGTAGAAAGAAATCACTGCCTATAACAATTATTCTCCTTCTTGATTTTAAGATGTTCTTCTGGAAAACCTTATCCTACTGCTAGTGCATATCGCTCTTATTGCGGAAATCTTACATACTCCATAGGGACTTTTTTTAGTCTACCACAGACAACACTTCTTTAAAACCCTGACCATTCCACAATTCATCCAAAAACTTCATAGGGAGCAATGTCTGACTCAAGCTGAAATAATTAGACTGCCAAAGAAAAGTTCCTTTTCCCAGAATATTATTCTTTAAACAGCAAAATTTCTGGTACCTATTTGTTTGTTTATGTCATTCTCATTTTAGGTTTAGGACACTTGTAAAAGTAGAACAGCTGTAGGATCCATATTATATCAATAATTGATAGTGCTGTATGTACACTGTGAAACATTTTTGTCTGTAGATGGAAGCACCTGGGGAAAAGAAGCTCTGTATCAAAGTAGGCTCATTCAGATCTCTAACAGAATTAACAAATAAAAGAGAGATAAGAGACTAGAGGAAGACTGATTTTAGATAAGAAGATGTAACAACATATAGTAGCTCTAGCTGGATATGGTGAATTTCTAAATGATGCCATTAGAATTCCCTAAATATAGCTCTGTATTTATCATATAGAAAATTACTCCAGCTTAAATATTTTTTCTCAACAAAATTTTTCCTACATTTAAAAAATAAGTTACTACTGCATAATATAGTGAGTATAAAACAGGTTACTTACTCAAATCCATGTATTTTCAATTATGTAGAAGGATGATTTATAGCATTGTATATAAAAAATTGCATAATAATAACAAATACTCTTAATATAGCACTTTACAACAGGCAAAACAATGTACATTATTTATAAATACATACATGAGGCTAAATTATATTAAAATGTTTGGGAGTTATAAAAATAGAATTCACTAGCAGTGATCTGTGGGAAAAGACAGAATAAAAAGAGAAGATTACATGATAAAGGTATGGATAAGGTTCTACTTTTTAAATTAAGTGGTTGGATTAGGGTATTCATTTTATTGTTTTATAGAAAGCACATTACATAGACAATCGTAAATACACTGTTTTAAAAATTAAAGTGTTGTGATAATGATTTTCTGAAATATCATACAAATAATTTTCTTTCACTATTGGTAAACTGAGGATACCCTTAAATGGTGAATCAGGTTAAGTTATATGGATAAGTTGTATTAATAATAGAAACACATATGAAATGGCAAATTAACAAAACTTGAAGAGCTGTAATAACCAGAGGAATATTTGATAATAATACATAGAATATTGTCCACAATTTTTTAACAATGGGGGATCCATTTGAGCATGATAAGGACAAAGCATAAAGCCAGTCAAAATTGTTTTTCTTTGGAACCACAGGAAGTAAAAGACAGGGCTCAAAAAGGAAGGCTCTATAAATTTCTTCCCTGAAGAATCAATCGCTCCAAACACAGAGCCACCAAGAATACCAGAGGATAAATATAAACATACAACTAGAGAACAGCTTACAAGATGAGGTGGTCAAAGAGTAGAAATGCTGGAAATGGAGTTCAAACAAAATCTTTGAGAGATTATCCAATTTAAGAAGAGGTGGATTTAAGGGAGTATTCAAAGCAGCAGAAATTAGATTGTAATCAAGAGATAGGACCAAAACCTGGAAACAATATCAGATTCAGATAGATCAGGAGACATAAGGAGCACTTGAAATAAAGTTGTCAGACCCTTGTGGTGATTTTGGAGTACAAACACATGTGCTGACTGCCTGAGGTTTGCTGAGTGCCTGAATCTTAACATTACAGAATAAAAATGAAAAAAAAAAAAGAGAGAAATCTGTGGGTATATTTCTTACCACTACACCTATACTCATACTCATAAGCACAAACCAGTCCTAGTGTTTATAGTTGTCATTTTTAATAACATTTTGGGATAAACCTACACTATTAACAATAACAATGAAAAATAATCATGTTAATTTATTATTTACTTATTTGCTTTCTCCTTCACAACAAAGACAATTTTGTGGATGCAGGGATCTCTGCATTTTCTTCATTCTAATCCAAGGTCTAGCAGATTATTTGGCACATATTAGGTGTTTTTATAAAAATTTGCTAGCTGAATTTCTGCCTTGAATTCTAGATTAAAATGTGAATAATTAAATGAATAAGTGAACTGATAAGAACTGATCATTATGAGCCCTACTTTTATATAAAAACCTAATGGTTTCAGAAAAAGTATGAATGGAGCATGGATAGGATAAGCTGTTGAACCGGTTAGCAAACAACATATAAGTGAAATAGGAATATGAGAAATAGGCTAAATACATAGCTATTTAATATCTTTATATATAAAATTTTCTAAGTTTAACCAGAATATTTATTTTTATAATTCTTATTTTTAAAGACACATTTAATCAATTTTAATATTTTGTATAATATAGAATTGAAAATTATTCCAAATAGTGTATATAAAACAATATTGGATGAAACACTACAGTATGTGTTGAAACAATATGAGTTTTATGTTTATTATTACAATATACAATGTTTAAAATAATGTATGATGCCTACCTAAAGTGTGTCAAATTGTTAAAAAAAAAAAAACCATTTTGATAGGAATGCTGACTTTGCTTTTCTGTTATTGAACGTTAAGATAGAAAATAATAATAACATAGAGATCTGTTCTAAAAGATGAACATAATATAAAAATATAGTTATTTAATTTTTTGATTTATAAAAGGAAGATTTTGGCTCAGCAGGTTCTCTGATTTTTCACTTGCCCCTTGCTATATATATATAAAAGTTGAACCCAATGTTGAATTTAAATAAATGAAAATAATTCTAGTTCTATAACATACAAGCACATACATATGATATTGTAGTGAGTACTGAATTATATGGCCAACATCAGATGTATTATAAGTTATATGACTAGTTTTTCTTTTTTTTTGTTCAAGTTATTTCCTATATTCTTGCCATAATAGTTGCTATATGTAGCATACCTGTAATATCTTGCATAACATCAAAACAAATTGTTCTTGTTTTTTATGTAAAATTGTCTGCTTTTTATTTTTGAGGATACATAGTAGGTTTATATATTCATAAGGTATATGAGATATGTTGATACAGATGTACAATGCATAATAATCACTTCGGAGTAAATAGAGTATCCATCACCTTGAGCATTTATCCTTTCTTTGTGTTATAAATAATCCAATTATATTCTTTAGTTATTTTAAAATGTACAATAAATAAATTATTGTTGACTGTATTCACTCTGTTGTACTATCAAATACTAGATCTTATACATTATATCTAACTATATGTTTGTATTCATTAATCATCCCCACTTCCTTCTCTTTCCCCATTACCTGTCCAAGACTCTGGTAACCATCATTCAACTCTCTGCCTCCCTGAATTCAATTGCTTTAATTTTTAGCTCCCAGAAATAAGTGAGAACATGTGAAGTTTGTCTTTCTGTGCCTCATTATTTCACTTTGGCATCATGACCCCCAGTTACATCCATGTTAGAAATGATAGGATCTTGTTCTTTTCTATGGCCGAATAGTACTCCATTGTTTCTATGTACATTTTTTAATCCATTAATCTGTTGATAGATGCTTAAGTTGTTTTCAAATTTTTGCTATTGTGAATATTGCTGAAATAAACATGGGAGCGTGGGATAAATGGAATAAATCCCATTTAGTCACGATGAATGGTGTTTTTAATATGTTGTTGATTTTGGTTGGCTAGTATTTTGTTGAGGAATTTTGGATTTAAAATTCATTAGGGATATGGGTCTGTAGTTTTCTTTTTTTGATGTGTCTTTGTCTGGTTTTGGTATTAGGATAATACTGGCCTTGTAGAATGAGTTTGAAAGTATTCCTTCTTCCCAATTTTTTGGAATAGTTTGAGTAAGAATGGTATTAGTTCTTCTTAAATGTTTAGTAAAATTCAACAGTGAAACCATTGGAACATGGGCTTTTCTTTGCGGGAGACTTTTCATTATGACTTTGATTTCTTTACTTGTTACTGGTCTGTTCAGGTTTTGGATTTCTTTATGATTCATTCTTAGTAAGTTGTATGTGCCTAGGAATTCATACATTTCTCCCAGGTTTTCTAATTTATTGGTATGTAGTTGCTCATAATACTCCCCAATGATTCTTTGAATTTATTTGGTATCATTTGTAATATATCATTTTTCATCTTTGATTTTATTTATTTGGGCCTTCTCTCTTTTCTTCTTAGTATGGCTAATACTTTGCCAATTTTATCTTTTAAAAAAACAGCTTTTCATTTCATTGATCTTTTGTAAATTTCATTTATTTCTGCTCTGATCTTTATTATTTATTTGCTTCTACTAATTTTGGGTTTAGTTTGCTCTTGCTTTACTAGTTCTTTAAGATGCACAATTAGGTTATTTATTTGAATTTTTTTTCTTTTTTTACTTTTGTGATGTAGGCATTTATAGCTATCAAATTCCCTCGTACTACTGCTTTAACCTATATTCCATAGGTTTTGATATGTTGCGTTTCCATTATCATTTGTTTCAAGAAATTTTTCAGTTTGTTTCTTAATTTCTTCATTGACCCCTTGGTTATTCAAGAGCATATTCTTTAATTTCCATGTGTTTGTATAGTTTATAAAATTCCTCTTGTTATCAATTTCTAGTTTTGTTCCATTATGGCCAGAGAAGATACTTGATATTATTTCATATTTTTTAATTTTGTAAGACTTGTTTTGTGGTCTAACATAAAATCTATCCTTGAGAGCCAAGAAAAAGAATGTATATCCTGAAGCCATTGGATGAAATGTTCTGTAAATGTCTATTCGGTCTAAAGTGAAGATTAAGTCTGATGTTTCTTTTTTGATTTTCTCTCTAGAAAATCTGTCTCATGCTGAAAGTAGGGTATTGAAGTTTTCAGCTATTATTGTATTGAGGTCTATCTCTATAGCTCTAATATTATTTGCTTTATTATTTTGTATATCTGAGTGCTCTAGTGTTATGTGCATATATATTTAAAATAGTTATATTTTATTGCTGATTTTACCCCTTACTCATTATATAATGATTTTCTTTGTTCCTTTTGATAGTTTTTGTCTTGAAATCTATTTTGTCTGAAGTAAGTATAGCTATTCCTGCTTTTTATTGGTTTCCATTTGCATGAAATGTCTCTTTCTATCCGTTTATTTTTAGTCTGTATGTGTCATTATAGGTGAAGTTTTGTTTTGTTTTGTTTGTAGGCAACAGTTCATTGAGACTTTTTTAAAGGATCAGTTCAGTCACTATATCTTTTGACTGGAGAGTTTAGTCCATTTAAATCCAATGCTATTATTAATAAGTAAGGACCTATTCCTGCCATGTTGTGGTTTGTTTTCTAGTTGTTTTGTGGTTTTTCTCTTCCTTCATTTTTTTCCTTGCTCTCTTCCTTTTAGTGAAGGTAATTTTCTCTGGTGGTATGATTGATTTTTTTTTGCTTTTGATTTTTTGTGTATCTGTTGCATGTTTTTTGATTTGGGATTACCATGGGACTTGTGAATATTTTATAACCCATTATTTTAAACTTATAACTTAATTCAGATTTTATAAACTAGCAGTCAAGCACTAATAAAAACTATACACATTAACTCTGTCTCACCACTTTTTAACATTTTGTTGTTTATTCACCATAAATACAGTGTTATGATATTCTGTGCACTTATTATCAGTGAGTTTTGAACATTCAAATAATTTCTTATTGCTTTTTTTTTTTTTTTTTAGACAGGGTCTTTCTCTGTTGCCCAGATTGGAGTGCAGAAACATGATCTTGGCCCACTACAGCCTCAATTTCCTGGGCTAAAGAGATCCTCCTACCTCAGCCTCCCAAGTAGCTAGAAGTAAGTTTTTATTTGTTTATAGAGAGAGGATCTCACCCTGTTGGCTAGGCTGGTCTCAAACTCCTGGGCTCAAATGAACCCCCTGTCAAAGTGCTGGGATTACAGACATAAGCCACCACACTCAGACTTATTGTTCATTAAGGTCCTTTTTTTGGGGATTGAAGAACTCTCTTTATCATTTCTTTTATTTTTTTATTTCATTATTATTATTATTATTACTTTTTTTGAGACGGACTCTCGCTCAGTTGCCCAGGCTGGAGTGCAGTGGCGTGATCTTGGCTCACTGCAAGCTCCCCCTCCAGGGTTCACACCATTCTCCTGCCTCAGCCTCCCAAGTAGCTGGGACTACAGGCACCCGCCACCATGCCCAGCTAATTTTTTTTTTTTTTTTGTATTTTTAGTAGAGACGGAGTTTCACCCTGTTAGCCAGGATGGTCTCGATCACCTGACCTCGTGATCCGCCCTCCTTGGCCTCCCATAGTGCTGGGATTACAGGCGTGAGCCACGGCGCCCAGCTTATCATTTCTTATAGAACAGATCTGATATTGATAGTATCCTTCAGTTGCTGTTTGTCTTGCAAAGTCTCTATTTCTCCTTCATGTTTGAAGAATATTTTCACTTATGATACTATTCTAGGGTTTGAGTTCCTGTTTTTGTTTTTTTATTTTCAGCACTTTAAATATGTCATGCTACTCTCTCCTGGCCTGTAAGGTTTCCACTGAAGAGTCTGCTTCCAGATGTATTGAAGACACATTGTAGGTCACTTATTTATTTTATCTTGCTGCTTTTAGGATCCTTTCTTTATCCTTGACCTTTGAGAGTTTCATTATTAAATGTCTTGAGGTAGTGGCATTTGGGTGAAATGTGCTTGATGTTCTAAAACCTTTTTGTGCTTGAATACTGATATTTTTCTATAGGTTTGAAAAGTTCTCTATTTTATTATCCTTTTGAATAAACTTTCTACTCCATCTCTCCCTCTCTCTCCTTTTTAAGGCCAATTACTCTTAGATTTACCCTTTTGAGGTTATTTCCTCAATCTCGTAGGTGTGCTTCATCCTTTTTTATTCTTTTATTTTTTGTTCCTCTGACTGTGTGTTGTCAAACAGCCTGCCATCAAACTCACTAATTCTTTCCTCTGCTTGATCAATTCTGTTGTTAAGAAACTCCGATGCGGCTGGGTGCAGTGGTTCACACCTGTAATCCCAGTATTTTGGGAGGCCAAGGTGGGCAGATTACAAGGTAAAGAGTTCAAGACCAGCCTGGCCAACATGGTGAAACCCCATCTGTACTAAAAATACAAAAAATTAGCTGGGTGTGGTGGCAGGCGCCTGTTACCCCAGCAACTCGGGAGGCTGAGGCAGGAGAATTGCTTGAACCCAGGAGGCGGAGGTTGCAGTTAGCCAAGATAGCGCCACTTCACTCCTGCCTGGGCAACAGAGTGAGAATCCGTCTCAAAAAAAAAAAAGAAAAAAAGAAAAAGAGACTCCAATGCATTCTTCAGCATGTCAATTGCATTTTCAAATCCAGAATTTCTGCTTGATTCTTTTTAATTATTTCAATTTCTTCATTAAATGTATATGATAGGATTCTGAATCCCTTCTCTGTGTTATCTTGAATTTTTCTGAGTTTCCTCAAAACAGCTATTTTGAATTTGGTGTCTGAAAGGTCACATATCTCTGTCCCTCTGGAATTCATTCATGGCGCTTTATTTTGCTTGTTTCTTGAGGTCACGTGTTTCCTGGATGGTGTTGATACTTGTGGATGTTTGTCTGTGCCTGGGCATTGAAGAGTTGGGTATTTATTGTAGTCTTTGCAGTCTGGACTTGTTTGTTCCCCTCCTTCTTGCAAAGGCTTTCCAGGTATTCTAAGAACCTTGGGTGTTGTGATCTACATTTTTGGTCACTTCAGCCATATTTGCATTACGGGGCACCCACCCCAAGCCTAGTATCACTGTGGCTCTTGCAGACTCATAGAGGTACCGCTTTTGAGGTCTTGGATGCTATCTGAAGAATTCTCTGAATTACTCTTTTTTCTCTTCCCTTACTTTCTTCCAAACAAAAGGAGTCTCTCTCTCTCTCTGTGCTAAGCTGCCTGGAGCTTGGGGAGGGGCGACACAAGTACTCCTGTGGTCAGCACCACTAGTACTGTGCTTAGTAAGATGTGAAATCAGCACAGCACTGAGTCTCATCCAAGGCTTGCTGTAACCACTACCTGGCTACCACTTGTGTTCGCTCAAGGCCCTAGTGCTCTACAATCTGCCAGTGGCAAACCCAGACAGTCTTGTATCTTTCCCTTGAGTGTGGTGAGATCCCCTGGCCCCAGGTCCAGAGATGCCATCCGAGATCCTGGGCCTGGAGTTGGAAACCCTGGGAATCTACCTGATGCTCTACTCTACTGCAGCTGGGCTGGCACCCAAGACACAATACAAAGTCCTTTCCATTCTGCTCTTTCCTTTCCATAAGCAAAGGAGTCTCACCCAATGGCCACTATCACCCTGGGCCCATAGCAAAAACCTCCTGGCTATTACCAATATTCCCTCAAGGCCCAAGGGCTCTTCATTCAAGTTGTGGTGAAGTCTGCCAGGCCTGAGACACTTCCCTCAGGAGAATAGGCTCCCCTCTGTTCTAGTATAGATCCAGAAATTCTGTCCAAGAGCCAAGGCCTTGAATAGGTAACTCCAAGAGCAGACTTGGTGCTCTACCACACTGTGGCTGAGCGGCTACCTAAGCTGCAAGACAAAGTCCCCTTTATTCTTTCCTCTTATTTTCTCAAGCAGAAGGTGTCTCTCCCTTGAGCCACCACAGCTGGGAATGTGCTGGGACACACCTGAAGCCAGCACATCTCAGAGTCTCACCCAAAGTCCATGGTGAGTACTACCTGGCTACCACTTCTGATTATGCAAGGCCCAAGGGGTCTTTGGTCAGCAGATGATGAATCCTGCCAGGACTTGATCCTTCCCTTCAAGGTAGCAGGTTCTTTTCTGGCCCAGGGTGTGTCTAGAAATGCCATGCACGTGGTAGGGTCTGGAATGGGGACCTCATGACTCTGCCCAATGCCCTACTCTACTGTGGCCGAGCTGGTATCCAAGTTGTAGGACAAAGTCCTCTTTACGCTTCCCTCTCCACTCTTCAAGAAGAAGGAAGAAGTATCTCCCAAAGCTGCAAGCTGCATTGCCTGGGGTTGAAGGAGGAATGACACAAGCACTCCCTTGGCCACCTTGGCTGGTGTCTCACTAGGTTGTGTGCCCCTCAAGTCTACTGGTTTAAAGCTCAGCACAGCATCAAGACTTGCCCAGGAATTGCAGTCCTTATGGTTCAGACTGCCTTTTGAGTTTATTTAAACCCCAGAGCCCTTTAGCCTGTGGTACTAAGGTTTGTGAGAACTCAGATTCTGACCATTGGAATGAGCTAGAGTGGATTCTCCTCTAGCTAGAGCTGATCTAAAAGCTCCCCCCATGGGCACTGGCTGAGTTCTTCCCAGCGTTGCTTTCCACTATGACAGGGCAGTACTGAGTTCCAACGCAAAGTCCCGCAATCATTGTGCTCTCCCTCCCTCAGATGCACAGATTCTCTCTATGCAACATGGCCACTGCTTGGGGATGGGGGAAGAGTGGCATCAGTAATTGAGACTGTCTTTCCTACCCTTTTCAGTGCCTCTTTCAGTGATATAAATTCAAAGCCATGTACTATAATCACTTACCTGAATTTTGGTTCTTATTAAGGTGCTTTTTCTTTGTATGGATAGTTGTTAAATTTAGTGTTCCTGTGGGGAGAACAATCAGTGGAGGTTTGTATTTGGCCATCTTACACTACCTCAAAGCAAATTGTTAAGTACCCTTCTTTTGAGATAATTTCCTATCCCAGAATATTTTCTTTTTGGAGTAGTAATTTCTAGATAATATACAAGTTTCATGTGATGTAATACTTGAAGGTTTTTTTATCATATACAGATTTCACTTTGTAAAACTGAAACATTATTGCCCAAATAAATTTTTGTTACTATATATACTAAATACTTAAGAGAGTAGAGTTCCTTTAACTATTGTGGTATTAATGAAAAAATTAACAACATATTAATTTTGATTCCACTGCTTCTTTTTATTTTAGTACACAAAATTTTTAATATTAATTGCCTTCATCAAGTGATTCTTTTCTAGTTCCTTTATATCGTAAAAATTAAAGAAAGCCACTACTTCACTGAGAGTCTTGGAGTTCTGTGAAACATTCTCTCTCTCTCTATCTCTCTGTCTCTCTCTCTCATACAGACACACACACACACACACATACACACACACAGTAGATCTACTACTCAAAAGAGTAGAGTAGTGGCAGGTTCAGCTTATAGAAAAGATTAAAACTCAGCCATCAGGGCTGGAAATTGCCATATATCCTATTAAGATTTTTCTCTCAGCATTTTTATTGCTCTACTCTAATGGAAAAAGTGAAAATTACTGCCAAAGAAGGAAACTCACTGAGTTTTTATGGTCCTCACTTTGTTACCTGTTGTTTTAGCACCTATGGATTTGTAAAATCTATCCACATGAATCTAAAAGTAAGAAAAAATGAAGCCTGGATTCTATGTATTGGTGGGGAGCAAATAGTTCAGTTTTAAATGACTACTACATTAAGAGATCTATCACATTGCATAAGAAAAATTCAAATGCTTAAAGACATTAGAATTATTGAAAAAATATATTATTTGATCTTTTTGTTTCTTATGTTTTGAACCAAAAAAAAACTACGTGTAAAAAGTTTCACTTTATTCTTTTCATGCAATTTTAGTGTAAGTTGAAATTAAAGAATTATTATATTCTACTTATTTGGAATTCAACTTTTTCTCTTTTGTTAATGTTTTGGGTACAAATCTTATTCTAACTCATAATAACCTAACTCAGACATTAATATAAAACACAGTTTAAAATAGTTTATTATCAATGGATGTGGGATACATATGTGTTGCCAGACAGGAAAGGAGGGTGGAAAACAGCCATATCATAAAAATACATGTATTTGTTTAATGTACTAGACAATTCTTTTCAAATATTTGATTATATTTTTCAGTATACAGGCTGAGGAACATTGTATTAATTCAACCCTTAGCGTTTTCCTGAAGCCAAAAGGTGAAAATAGTAAACATTTTAAATTAAAGTGAACTTTCATATTAAGAGGTAGAGAAGAACTTATGTTGTCAAGAATATCAGTCCAGTCCTTTATTATTCCAAGATAATAAAATGTAATATTAATAATATATTATGTTGTCCTAAGTTTTCTTTTCTTTAGCACAGAAGACAGATTTTCTAGAAATTAGAAGAAAGTTTTTTCTCTATCTACCCACTTTTCCTCTGAGAGCAAGCCCTAGGGGACATCAAAGCAAATGTTATATTCACTCCTAGTTACAGCCAGCTGAGGCTTGACAGGAGTAATCTCCTTGAAGTGATTCTCTTTGCTAATAATTTATGCTTATCACTGTCAAGTAGTTATTATCATTGACATCTGGCAGAATTTCAGAGCTTACCATGTTGTCTAACACCTGCCAAGGTTTATGCATATAGCTCAGAAATTTATTAGGAGCTGCTCAAATTAATTACTGTTTCATTCAGTAATTGGATAGTAGTCTTACATATTGATACACATATCTTATGACAAAATATTTTCCCATGCTATTAAAATAAACTACACTACATTTAAACATTGTTGAATGGTAACTATTTTTAGTCATATGTCTATCTATACAACCAGTTCAGATTTCTGTACTTCTTATATTTACTTTACTTCCACTATCAAAAATAATCCATAGTGGAAAAAATAATCATTAAGAAATAACTTATAAATTAAAAAAATAATTTATGTTGATATGTAAATACTTTCTCAGTGCTTTTTATGGTATAAGCTGTATTAAGAAAGTAAAGAATGTGGCTAAAATAAAATCTATATTATGTACACTTGTTTTATTAACATTTTATCTATATTGTAACCATTAGTTTTATGTTTACAACTTTGATTCTTCACTGAAACTGGGAATTCACACTCCAAGTAATTCTCTTCTGTGCATACAAATTCAACATATACAGAGTAGAGACTTTAGGCTTTATGAAAATATATATCTGCCTTAACCTTACCAACATGGGATTATTACAATATTTTGACAATTTTGGATTTTGCCCTTATGAAAAGCCAAAAGTATTTTTTTCTGCTGCTTCTAGCTACAGTGATTATTATATCTCAAAAAATCAGAAAAGTTCTCACTTCATTAATTTTAAGTTTCATGATTCAAAGTGTTCCTTCTCTCCAATTTATTAATTCATAACAATGCAGACAGCAAAGACATCTTCAAATGAACTCGCTTGAACTCAGAGATTTGGTTAGATTCAGATATTGGTTTGCAATGAATAAGAGTCATAATGAGAAGGAGAGAAGAAAGGATTCCTTCTTTTGGCCACATTCTTTGTGTTCTCTCCTGGAGGTAGCTTCTTAAAGTCTTCCTTTTACCAAATTCCAGTGAATTTGTTATGATCAGTAAAAATTTCCTGAATCTGTGCTTTATGCAATCATAGTCAACAAAGGAAGGAGTTTTTGATGGTCAGTACAACCATTTTACAACCCATTGCATATTACAATACCTTTATCTTGATATTTCTTGACATATTTAATTTTCTACTAATATGGTTTGTATCTGTGTCCCTGCCTAAATCTCATGTTGAATTGTAATCCCCAGTGTTGGAGATGGAACCTGGTGGTAGTTGATTAGATACTGGGGAAATTTCTCATTAAGCATTTAGCACCATTCTCTTAGTGCTGTTTTTGTGATAGGGTTCTTAGGAGATCTGGTCGTTTAAACATGTGCAGCACCTCACCTATCTCTCTCCTCCTCCTGCTCCTGCCATGCCAAGATGCCTGCTCCAGCTTTGCCTTACACCATGAGTAAAAGCTCTCTGAGGCCTCCCCAGAAGCAGATGCTGCCATGCTTCCTGCACAGCCTGCAGAACCATGAGCCAATTAAACCACTTTTTTTAAATAATTTAATCAGTCTCAAGTATTTCTTATTAGGAATGCAAAAGTGGTAGACTAATATAGAAAACTGGTACCAAGAAATGGGACATTGCTATAAAGATACCTGAAAATGTAGAAGCAGCTTTGGAACTGGGTAATGGGCAGAGGTTGGAAGAGCATGGAGGGCTCAGAAAAGGAAGAGAAGATGAAGAAAAATTTGAAACTTTCTAGAAACTTGTTAAATCGTTGTGACCAAAAGGTTGACAGTGATATGGACAATGAAGTCCAGGCTGAGGAGGTCTCAGATGTAAATGAGAAACCTACTGGGCACTGGAGTAAAGGTCATATTTGCTATGTGTTAGCAAAGAGCCTGGCTGCACTGTGTTCCTGCTCTAGCAATCTTGGAACTATGAAACTGAAAGAGATGTTTAAGAGTATGTAGCAGAAGAAATGTCTAAGCAGCAAAGTGTTCCAGAAGTGGCCTAGCTGCTTGTAAAAGCCTGTGCTCATTTGCATAAAGAAAGAAATGACCTGAAACTGGAACATATATTTAAAAGGGAAGTAAGGCCAGATGCAGTGGCTCATGCCTGTAATCCCAGCACTTTGGGAGGCTGAGGCAGGCGGACCACTTGAGGTCACGAGTTCAAAATCAGCCTGGCCAACATGGTGAAACCCTGTCTTTTTACCAAAAATACAAAAAAAACAAAAACATTAAAAAACTAGCTGGGAATGGTGGCACATGCCTGTAATCCCAGATACTCAGGAGGCTCAGGCTGGAGAATCGCTTGAACCTGGGAGATGGAGGTTGCAGTGAGCCAAGATTCCACCACTGCACTCCAGCCTGTGTGAAAGAGTGAGACTCCATCTCAAAAGTAAATAAATAAATACATACATACATAAATACATAAATAAATAAATAGGAAGCAGAGCATAAATGGTTAGAAACTTTGCAACCTGGCCATGCAGTAGAAAAGCAAAACCCATTTGCTGGGGAGGAATTCAAGCAGGCTGCAGAAATTTGCATAAGTGAAGAGAAGCCAAGTGCTAATATCAAAGACAATGAGGGAAAGGTCTTGAAGGTATTTCAGAGACCTTCTTGGCAGCCCCTCCCATCATAGGCCTGGAGGCCTTGGAGGAAAAAATGGTTTTGTGTGCCAGGGCCAGGCCCCTGATGCCCTGTGCAGCCTCAGGACACTGTTCTCTGAATCCTAGCCACTCCAGCTCCAGCTGTGGCTCCAAGGGGCTCAGGTATAGCTCAGACTACTGTTCCAGAGGGTGCAAGGCATAAGCATTGGTGACTTGCATATGATGTTAAGCCTGCAGGTGTGCAGACTGCAAGAGTTGAGGCCTGGGAGCCTCCACCAACGTTTCAGAGGATGTATGGAAAAGCTTGTAAGCCCATGCAGAACCCTTCTGTAGGTGCAAAGCCCTCATGGATAACCTCTACTAGGGTAGTACAAAGAGGAAATCTGGGGTTTGGATCCCCAATTACAGAGTTCTCACTAGGATGCCCCCTAATGGAGCTTTGAAAAGAGGACCACTGTCCTCCAGACACCCAACTGGTAGATCCACTGGCAGCTTCTACTGTGTGCCTGGAAAAGCCAAAGGCACTGAATGCCAGCCCATGACAGGAGCTGCAGGGGCTGCACCCTGAAAAGCCACAGAGGAAGAGATGTCTAAGGCCTTGGGAGCCTACCGCTTCCACCAGTGTGCTCTGGATGGATAGGGAACATGGAGTCAAAGGAGGTTATTTAGGAGCTTTAAGATGTAATGATTCCCCTGCTGGGTTTTGGACCTGCATGGGGCCTGTAGCCCCTTTGTTTTTGGCCATTTTCTCCTTTTTAGAATAGGAGTATTTAACCAATGCCTATATGCGTATACCCCCATTGTATCTTGGAGGTAATTTTTTTTTTTTTTTAAACAGGCTCATTGATGGAAAGGACTTGCCTTGTCTCAGATATTTTGGACTTTGGACTTTTGAGTTGATGCTAAAATAAGGTAAGACTTTGGTAGACTGTTGGGAAGACATAATGATTTATTTATTTATTTTTTTTTTTTTTTTTGACAGAGTCTCACTCTGTAGCCCAGGCTGGAGTGCAGTGGTGGGATCTTGGCTCACTGCAACCTGTGCCTCCCGGTTCAAGTGATTCTCCTGCTTCACCTCCCAAGTAGCTGGGATTACAGGCATGTGCCACCATGCCCAGCTAATTTTTGTATTTTTAGTAGAGATGGGGTTTCACCACGTTGAAGGGGCTGGTTTCAAACTCCTGACCTCAGGTGATCCACCCGCCTTGGCCTCCTGAAGTGCTGGGATTATAAGTGTGAGCCACTGCTCCTAAAGGCGTAATGATATTTTGATTTGTGAGATAGACATGATATTTGGCGGGGCCAGAGGTGAAATGATATGGTTCAGATCTGTGTCCCTGCCCAAATCTCATTTCAAATTATAATCCCCAGTGTTGGACTTGGGGCCTGATGGTAGGTGATTGGATCACAGGGCCAGTTCCTCCTGAATGGTTTAGCACTACCTCCCTTGTGCTGTTTTCTTGATAGAGTTATCACAGTATCTGACTGTATAACCCTTTTCCCATTTAGAAAATAAATAAATAAATAAATAAAATAGTAAGTGCAGCTCACTGCCAGTGCTCATTTAATTTTACATACCTTTTAAATTTATTTAATTTTACATAGGCATGCTCTTTTAGGCTGAAGAAAATATGACTGATTTCAGTGTGAAAATAAAATATAAAAACTGTTCTTGGAGTTATATTTAAGGAGAACTAACATCAGAATCATCTGAATTATCAGAATCATCTATTTTGAAAAAATCAGAATCATCAAATGAATCTTTTGAACAATTGTTTGAGAACGATGTTAACATAACACATAAGAATGGTATGTTTTCTAGGATTTGACATTTTCAGTGATTGAGAATTACTATATTTTATAAACAAAAATACTACTACTAAGAACAGAATGCTATAAACAGAATAATGTCTTTTGTTTCCAAAATTGATATACTACAGCAATGTGAAAATAATAATAAAAGTGAGATATTTTGTGGCAAAGTTATCTCAGGGTAAATGCTGCAGCTGCAAGTGCCACTGGCAGGTATTCTCAGGGCAAATGGAAAAAGGGATAGAAGTGTGTAGCAGCTCCCCCGTAACTCTTCCTCCTTCTCCTGCCATGTGAAGATGCCTGCTCCAGCTTTGATATGAGTAAAAGCTCCCTGAGGCCTCCCCAGAAGCAGATGCTGCCATGCTTCCTGGACAGACTTTGAAACCGTGAGCACATTCAGTCTCTTTTCTTATAAATTATCCATTCTCGGGTATTTCTTTATAGCTATGTGAGAATGGACTAATATGTCTATGTATTAAATTTAAGCATTTATGAGATTTTGGTGAAAACATGGAATTAAAATGAAACACAAATATGGCATTTCCTTCCGTAGTTCCCTAGATTTTTCTAGCTGGTTGTCTAAATGAAATTTATAAATAATCTATTGAAACAATATATTAGAATAATACACAATGTCTAATCTAAACTCACGTATGCCAAATAAGCAAAGTAAAATGAGAAAACCCATAGTACTTCATGGTTTTTGGTCACAGGAAAACAGAAATACACATAGCTGTTCTTTTTAGGTAAATTCATATCAGCTGGACTTTAACAGACACGTATCTTTATAAAAGGTGAAAATAAATATATGATGTTTTGCAAGCTTTTCTTTCATGTTTTCAGCAATTTAATAAGAGAGCCACATAAAATATCTCTATATCATTCTCTCTCTCTCGTAATTTAATGGGCTATCTTTATACCTATACACACACATCTGTATGTGTGTGTATTTGGAATAAGATATTCAACTGTTAAATCACTATATATGTACGTATATATAGCATTTTTATATGCATATGTTTTATATGTATGAAAAATTTGATGTTTATTAAAGTACTGAAAGCCTGACAGGAAAACATGTAAATAATATATAACTAGTTTAAAGACATGATCAGTAGTGCTATCTGCTATTGAACATTCTCCACCAATTATGTCTTAAAATTTATATTTGATTTCTGATGTAATTATTAACCATATTTTAAGCTATAAGAAATTGAATATCAAAATATTTCAATGACTTGATATAATTTTTTGAATATCAAAATATTTCAATGACTTGATATAATTTTATAAATAATATAATGTACTTTTCTTTCTTGTTACCCCTGAACTACTAGCATACCACTCCTTATCTCTATTTCTTTGCAAATGTTCATCATGTTATTTGATGTCCGGGAAGAAGGAGTGGAGACAATGTGCTGTCTTTCACAATTGATCAGGATTACATAGCATTTATTTGAATGTGGCAGAAAAGAAATATGAAATAGCTCTGCTAAATGTAAACATAATATGGTAAATATATTACAAATAATTCTAATTTTCAATCAAATCACTTTAAAAATGAGACTTTTGTACAAAAAGAGTAAAAAAAAGATGACACAAAGGTGGAAATTACAGAATTATTAAAGTAAAATTAAATATTAGATACACTTTATGTTTGAAATACTACAGTATTTTAGGTAATAATATGGCTTTATTGACTGGAATAATACTATATTGCATTACTTAAAATATTATGTTGCAACAACAGTCATCTTTAGAAAACACAAAATCCCATTTTAGAGGTTTTTCCATTGGTTCACAAAAACTGCTATCATAGATACCAGAATGAAGACATAATTCACACATATATTCAATGTATAAGAAGATTATTGGGTATTTGAAATTAAACTTAAAAGTATAAGAATCAACATTATTTTATTTTCAAATAATCCAGGGCACCCAGAGTTTTAAAGAAAACCATAAAATATACATATAAACTGTTACTATGCATCACATTCTTCTCAGAACCCTGAAAATTGTAATTGACATGTTCTGTTCATGAAGATATAGTATTATTTCAAGGAATGAAAGCAGGTTCACTGTGCACTGGTTACCATGCCAATTTTTATCACTTGCACAGGTCCTGTGAGACAGAAAACTCACACAAATTACAAGAAGCAGATTTATTGCTTAAAGATAGGCAGCAAGGGGAAACAGAAGCCTAGGTTTCATTTTGAGCCAGTTTCTCAAGGCTCAGAAAAGCTTCCCAGCACAGATGGAATCAGTCTGCATGTGTCCCCACTTGCACCACAATAGGAGGACCCCAAAATGCAGCCCACCTTGGGTTTTATGTCCTAGGGGTCACATGACATGCCACACTTAATAAATGAAAAATATTCTGTTTCTAGGTGAGACAAACCAAGACCAGACTGCTCTGGCCAGTTCCTCATAGTCTTAAGATGTTGCGTTCCCAGTACATTCTATAGTTATTTTTGAGACCTAGTAAGAGGGAGAGAAAAATCGGGTCAGTCCACGGCCACTCAGGGAACTATCCTGCAGGAATTGACATTTTCATAGTCATTCAATATGTCATTATGAGCTTGCCACTGTACTAGATTGTATCAGAACACATATAAAGTAGATATATTTCTTACCTTTGTGTTTCTTATAGTATAATAGGAGGCTAATTGGACAAATAAAATATTACTGCTAGAAAGTGAAGAAATACACTCTTAAAAAACAATGTGACTGAATCAACGAGCACAAAGTCAAGTGATAATGAAAAACTAGCAAGAATAATTGGGCTCTAGGTGACATTCTGTCATTGCTTATGTGTAACCATTGCTAATTTTTCTAACTTCTGAGAGCTATAAATTAGCTATGAAATGAGAAAGCCGATTTAATTTCCCCAGAGTTTTTTTCAACCACTAAAATATTATGACATTCTAAAAATTATTATTGTTATGTATTGATTTTTGTTCAATTGTGTAGCCAACTCCCTAGAGCAATCAGCAATTTTTTCTTTTTTTGAGACAGTCTTGCTCTGTCACCCAGGCTGGAGTGCAGTGGTGAAATCTCAGCTCACTACAACCTCTACCTCCCAGGTTCAAGTAATCCTCCCTCTTCAGCCTCCCAAGGAGCTGGGACCACAGACATGTGCCACCACACCTGGCTAATTTTTGTATTTTTAGTAGAGACCACGTTTCACTATGTTGGCCACGCTGGTCTCAAACTGTTTACCTCAAGTGATCCACCTGCCCCAGCCACCCAAAGTGCTGGTATTATAGGAATGAGCCACCATGCTTGGCTAATAGTCATGTTTACTGAGGCCAGCATGAATAGGTCTTTAGGAGAAATAAGGTGATTGGGACATTCTGTTAAGTTGGAAATGATGGTAAGTTAACCAAATCAATATGTTATGTAGAAAGTTGGATACATGTGTGTGAAGTGAAACATTAAGGTTTTTGATGGAGAGACCTATGTAAATTTACGTTGTTGCCATATTTTTGGCATTCAAACCATGTAATTTTTGACATTATATGGAGAGAGGTAAAAAGGAAGAGAGGTTAGGAATGAATGTCAAGATAGGGATAGGAAGTAGAACTAGGGAAGTGACCAGAATCATGATATAAAGCACAGGTGTTCTGTATACCAGAGCCAGAAAGGAGAGACTTGTAAAAGAAGGGAGTAGTCTACCCTGTCACGGGTAGCTGAAATACTGAGTAGAAACTAGTCATTTGACAAATATCTACTGACCTCCTACTATGTACCAGCTACAATTCTAAGCACCTAGAATGTACCAGCAAAGAAATAAAATCTCCCTCCCTTGTGGAACTTTCCTTCTGTTCCTCAAATTGGAGACAAAATAATAAATAATAAAAATGTTAGTGAAATAAATCACCAAGTATTTTGGAAAGTGATAAATGCTATGAAAAATAATGTAGAGCAGGTAAGAAATTTGAGAGTACAGCAACCTAGCTGAGTGCAGCAAGGGATGAGATCAGAGAGATAATGGTAATTGGCTTTCACTCAGAGTTTGAACAGATTGGTGACATGATATGAGTTGTATTTTGAGAGATTTATTTCTGTAACTTTTTATAAAATCTGCTTTCAGGCAGACAAACGTGAAAGTCTATTTCCATTTAAAGGCTATTACTATTGTCCACAGGAGAAATGATGGCTTTGACCAAAGTGCATAGGAAAGGCGAAATGTGGATAAGTTTTGAAAGAAGCTCCAACAAGAGTTCCACACAAATTGAATGAGATCTCAGGCAAAAAGGGGGAATTCAAGGATAGTGCTAATGTTTTGTTTTATTTTTTTTTGGCCTGAGCAACTAGAGTGATGAGATACCATGAACTGATGTATGATAGACTGAGACTGGATCTGGAGACATTCAAGAGCTCAGTTGTGCCTGTGTCATATTTAAGATATTTGTCATTAGAGGCATTGTAGGGAAGGTTGGAAATGTGGATTTAGAGGACTGAAGAAAAAAATATGAGCTGGAGCTATCAATGTAGAAGTTTCTAAACATATAGATAGTATTTAAAGACATAAGACTGGGTGTGATTACCTACAGAATGTGTATAGACATAAAAGATATCTTGGATATTGCAAGAAAAAGTAAAGAATCCATCAAAAGATACTGCTTACTTTGGTTGCATGTGAGGTAGTGCTCATTTATATGTTGAAGAGAGGCTCTCAGAAGTAAGTAACAGGCAAATAGGAAAAGTAATGTTAAACCATAATATACACTATTTTATTTGGTTTTCTTAACAACCCTACTAATGAGTTGTGTAATTATTTTCATTTCAAATCATAAAAATTTGTCCAAGGACACACATTGAATAACTGACTGTCACATGTTACCAAGTTTTTAAATACTAGGCAATATTATAGCTTATACTGCTCTTGTATTGATCTCTCTCTAAAAAATTAAAGAAAATACATAGGGCAGAGAAAAAAGACAACTACAAAATTATGCACTGATTGGACACTCATATGCATTTTTTCAATCAATAAATACATGTATTTGTTGATTGAATAAAAACATTCAGTGCATTGTTGCTTGGGAATTTAAAAGGATATTTTATAAATATCTTAACCAAATCTCAGAACTTCTAATCAGCATTTGGGTCTCATTAAGTGCTTTCTTTCCTTTGTATTCCTTAGGTTGCCATTTGATTATTTTTGCTAAATGATAGCTTATTTACATCTTTGCTTTTTATACATTCTCTTCTCCTCTAGTGTCTTTTCCATTCTTGATATTAAGCAATTTTCAATACTCTTGCTAAAGTCTCAATTATTTTAATTCTTGCTTATTTCTGTTCTTTCAGCTGTTTTATACATATCTTGCAGTGCATTAAAATAAGTTTTAACATAGACTAGAGAAACAAACAAATAAACAAATAAGCAAAACTAGAGAAGCCAAATAACTGAGTGAGACCAACATTGAAAAGTAAGATAATATCATTTAACCTTAAGTAAGAAATTTATTAGATGAAAAGGAAAGTTTAAAATAAAGTTCTACTAGAAAACAAGTAAATAGAAGGAAACAGAATTTGCTGGCTTAAATAAACCTCTTCTGAATTAATTACTGATCAAAGTATTTTTGATTATGTTTATCTGTCAGCTTAATTCTTGAGAATGTTTTTTAAGCAGAAATCTTACAGGGATACATTACAAATCTAATGCTAAATTTTATTCTATGATGATTGTATTTTTCATCCAACATAGCAGTATTTTGAATATAATTCATATGTTATTAAAATGAATACATGACACATTTATGGCACTAACAATTTAACATATAATTAATTAGGATGACATATGTAAACACTTCTTGCAGTGCAAGAATATTGTGGATTGAAAAATGTTAGTGTCTTTCCTCCCTCAGAAATATTATGTATAATATGTTTTGTGGTTTTCAGCCTATTAAGGGAGTACATTGATGATTTTTATTCTCACTCACTCATTGAAATAAGTAAACATAAATAAAAACTTGTTCTCTATTAGCTCTCTATTGAAATGAATTATTGTGAGTAGGCACTGAATATCTTTGCCTGCTTAGAAAGACTCTAATTCAGCCCATTAATAATAAGGCTTCCAAATGAAGCAGTCCACTTTTTGTTTTCTATCAGAAGACACAGAATCAGAGAATTCTTTCTGGTACAATCTGGGCTGTAATGTTGGTTTTTTTGGGGTTCTGATGACAGGAATAGTCTTATGGTCCACATTTTGGGATCATGAGAGTCACTCAGTAACATTTTCTTTAGAATGTCAATAAAAATTGTAGACTGCTGACTGGGAGGAGATGGCAAGTTGAGAAATCGACAGTGTTTTTAGACGTCTTTCTCCTCCTAAGATTTCCACATTTACCTCCTGGAACCTTATTGCCAGCTAATGCCACCTTGTTTCTCATCTAAAATAATTTTAGTTAAGCAAAAAAAAAAAAAAAAAAAAAAAAAAGAAAGAAAGAAAACAAAGAAAAAAAAGTGCCCTCTCTCATCTCACAAGCAATATTTCAACCTGATTAACAATGAACTTTATTATTATACATTAGTGACTTCAGTATCCACATAGGTGATCATATTATAAACAGGCACTAAGAATTTGATGTCTATAACAACCACAATCTTTTTCTTTATATCTATTTAGAAAATCACACATTGTAAGAACACCTAAGACCTTGATATTTCCCAGAAATATACCTCTGAAATATTATGTTTTACATGCTGAGTTGTGCCTGTAGTTTTTCTACACTTATCATCTTAACGTAAACTACCTGGCTTTTTGACATTACAGTGTTCTATTTCACATCTACCAATTCCTTCTCTGTTATGTCTAACATGACATTGTTTTGTTCCCAATTTGGCTTATAGTGTACTATTTTAAAGAAAAAAAATCCACATAAGTAATTTAATAATATTCTTTGAACTGTAACTGCATTATCAATGTAAAATAGAAGCTAAAATGAAATTTTAATAAAGAAATAACAAAAGGATATTTAAAAGTTAGTTGGGTGAAATATATTTGACAAGAAGAAGGGTGTAGGCTGAGAAATGAAAAGGTGATAAGGCTACCAAAAAATGTAACACCAACATTAAAATCTGTTTTAGAACAACAACATGTTAAGTCAATACTGTAGGACATGAAATAAATGATAGGGTAAAATAATAAATTGCAAAGCTCTACAGATGTGTTAGGTATAAGATTTTCCATGTGGAAGTGACATGCCTGAATATTCTAATTTTGTAATTAAATTCTTTTAGGCGCTGATCAATTCTCTCAGATTTTTCACTATAACTGTTTGTGACTGTATAAAGGGAATTCTTGATCATTTTCATAAGTCTATATTCATTGAGCACTGTAATATTTAGTGGAGTTTATTCTGATCCAGAGTCACTGCTAATCAATCATAGTGTAATTTTTCACCAATAAAAATAGGACATTAATATATGTTTAATAAATAACATAATTATCTTACCACTCCCTAAATAATTATCATTCGAAATCTCACCATGCATAGGTAATCACTGCCAAAATTGTGTTTGCATTTGTTTTCCCAACCAAATTACCATTCAGCTTCAGGATTAGGCAAACGAAAGTAAACAAAGTAGACGTTGTTTTTTCTTTCAAAAAACCGCAATTTAGTTGTATATGTTTGGATACCACTGCAAGTAGTTTTTTAAAAGATTTGTTTGTATTTCTGTATTGAAATTGGGAGGTATTACAGAGATGTTTTCCTTAAATTGCATTAAAGCACTTTATTAAAACTTTAACAATTTGGGACAATATTTTAGTGTCAAACAGAGACAGAGAGAGACAATGATCTCAAAGAAGAAGAAAGATTATTAAAACAGACATTCACATAAAAAATAAATTTCAAATTGAATAAGTATTTAATAATGGTAATTAAGCAATTAGTCAACACTAAAGATAAATCTCTGGTAAAAATCTATTTCAGCATAATTACTTACAATGAATGTTAAATGGCAAAAAAAATTAAAATTTAGTTGCAAAGGAAAACTTGTTTCTGGCAGTCCATTTCATTTTGTTTTGGTAAGGGTTCCCTGACTTTCTTTGAGTAAATTCAAAGAAACTTGAATAAATTGGGTGAAAAAATCCATCCCTAGATTCAGAGGAATTGAATGTACAACCTGAACCTTAAAAAATCATCGCATTTTGTTTCTTGACCTCACAATGTTTATCCCATGAGGGGTGAATGTCTGATGTAATTTGGACACACGTGTCTAGATAACGACAGCCTTTTGTTCTTGCAACAGGGAAAGAGAAATATTTTTAAAATGAAGCAATACAAATGACTCGACACAACACAAATATTATGTCCGATCTCATTAGTAAACATATATATATATATATATATATATATATATATATTTAAAGGCCAAATAGCTGAAGGTGTCTTTCCTTTTACATACCTAACTTTAAGTGATAGATTGCAGAAGGCAGTAGGATGTACAGCCACAGAAGTAACTCTGTTTCTCTCTATCAACCTAAGGGCTCCTTCCATCCAGCACATCAGAACAACAGTAAATGTTTCTCATATGCTGATCTCTGCTATAGCGGTATACCAACCCTAGGGCTCTGCTATGCTTTATCCACACTAAACCATAAGGGATGACTATAGTTTTGCTTCAAGTGTGTCTGTTTTTCCATGTTTTCTTTTCTTTCTCTATTTTATATGGGTGACCATTTCAAGGTTTTTTTATTTTATTTTACTTTAAGTTCTAGGGTACATGTGCACAACGTGCAGGTTTGTTATATATGTATACACATGCCATGTTGGTGTCCTGCACCCATTAACTCATCATTTACATTAGGTATATCTCCTAATGCTATCCCTCCCACCTCCCGCAACCCCACGACAGGCCCCAGTGTGTGATGTCCCCCTTCCTGTGGCCAAGTGTTCTCATTGTTTACTTTCCACCTATGAGTGAGAACATGTCGTGTTTGGTTTTTTGTCCTTGTGATAGTTTGCTGAGAATGATGGTTTCCAGCTTCATCCATGTCCCTACAAAGGACATGAACTCATCCTTTTTTATGGCTGCATAGTATTCCATGGTATACATGTGCCACATTTTCTTAATCCAGTCTATCATTGATGGACATTTGGGTTTGTTCCAAGTCTTTGCTATTGTGAATAGTGCCACAGTAAACATGCGTGTGCATGTGTCTTTATAGCAGCATGATTTATAATGCTTTGGGTATATACCCAGTAATGGGATGGCAGGGTCAAATGGTATTTCTAGTTCTAGATCCTTGAAGAATCGCCACACTGTCTTCCACAATGGTTCAACTAGTTTACAGTCCCACCAACAGTGTAAACGTGTTCCTATTTCTCCACATCCTCTCCAGCACCTGTTGTTTCCTGACTTTTTAATGATTGCCATTCTAACTGGTGTGAGATGGTATCTCATTGTGGTTTTGATTTGCATTTATCTGATGGCCAGTGATGATGAGCATTTTTTCATGTGTCTGTTGGCTGCATAAATGTCTTCTCCTGAGAAGTGTCTGTTCATATTCTTTGCCCACTTTTCGATGGGGTTGTTTGTTTTTTTCTTGTAAATTTGTTTGAGTTCTTTATAGATTCTGGATATTAGCCCTTTGTCAGGTGAGCAGATTGCAAAAATTTTCTCCCATTCTGTAGGTAGCCTGTTCACTCTGCTGGCAGTTTCCTTTGCCGTGCAGAAGCTCTTTAGTTTAATTAGATCCCATTTGTCAATTTTGGCTTTTGTTGCCATTGCTTTTGGTGTTTTAGACATGAAGTCCTTGCCCATGCCTGTGTCCTGAATGGTATTGCCTAGGTTTTCTTCTAGGGTTTTTATGGTTTTAGGTCTAACATGTAAGTCTTTAATCCGTCTTGAATTAATTTTTGTATAAGGTGTAAGGAAGGGATCCAGTTTCAGCTTTCTACATATGGTTAGCCAGTTTTCCCAGCACCATTTATTAAATAGGGAATCCTTTCCCCATTTCTTGTTTTTGTCAGGTTTGTCAAAGATCAGATGGTTGTAGATGTTTTGTATTCTTTCTGAGGCCTCTGTTCTGTTCCATTGGTCTATATCTCTGTTTTGTTATCAGTACCATGCTGTTTTGGTTACTGTAGCCTTGTAGTATAGTTTGAAGTCAGGTAGTGTGATGCCTCCAGCTTTGTTCTTTTGGCTTAGGATTGTCTTGGCAATGTGGGCTCTTTTTTGCTTCCATATGAACTTTAAAGTAGTTTTTTCCAATTGTGTGAAGAAAGTCATTGGTAGCTTGACGGGGATGGCATTGAATCTATAAATTACCTTGGGCAGTATGGCCATTTTCACAATATTGATTCTTTCTATCCATGAGCATGGAATGTTCTTCCATTTGTTTGTGTTCTCTTTTATTTCTTTGAGCAGTGGTTTGTAGTTCTTCTTGAAGAGGTCCTTCACAGCCCTTGTAAGTTGGATTTCTAGGTATTTTATTCTCTTTTTAGCAACTATGATTGGGAGTTCACTCATGATTTGTCTCTGTCTATTATTGGTGTATAAGAATGCTTGTGATTTTTGCACAAGCATCTCGCTCCATTGCCCAAGCTGGAGTGCAGTGACGCAATCTCAGTTCACTGCAAGCTCTGCCTCCGGAGTTCACACCATTCTCCTGCCTCAGCCTCCCGAGTAGCTGGAACTACAGACACGTGCCACGATGCCCCTCTAATTTTTTGTATTTTTAGTGGAGACAGGGTTTCACCATGTTAGCCAGGCTGGTCTTGATCTACTGACCTCGTGATCTGTCCACCTCAGCCTCCCAAAGTGCTGGGATTACAGGCATGAGCCCCCACGCCTGGTCTCGTTTCAAGTTTTATATCCACAGCTCTTATTAATACTCTTCAAATTCTCTTGGTTGCCCCTCTTTATCTTTAATTATGTGTTTAACAACATCAAATGTATACTTTGTAGTTTGAACTATATGAATCATATGTTATTTGTTTATACCATTTAAAGTTGTTTATTATATTTATTTGCAAACCTATATTTTTTAATGTTTTGAGGTTCTATGTAAAACTTATTCATAACTCCCAAATAACAACACTGTGCTTAATACAGATGTGTTAACAAATAACCAAATAATAAATATGATAAAATTCTAACTGAATGGGGAAAATCATTAGCATAGGGCTTTAGCATATTTATTCTTTGACTTCCCAAACTAATCTTCTCAACAGAGAAAATTGGAATTTCTTAGCAGGCACATTTTCTTGAGTCATTCTTTTTTTTTTTTTTTTTCTTTTTTTTGACAGAATCTAAGGCTGGAGTGCAGTAATGGGATCTCAGTTCACTGCAACCTCCACCTCCTCGGTTCAAGCATTTCCCCTGCCTTAGCCTCCCCAGTAGCTGGGATTACAGGTGCACACCACCGTGACTGGCTAATTTTTTTTGTATTTTTAGTAGAGACAGAGTTTCACCATGCTGGCCAGACTGGTCTCAAATTCCTGACCTTAGGCAACCTGCCTGCTTTGCCTGGAAAAATTCTGGGATTACAGGCATGAGCCACTGTGCCCAGCCTCCTGAGTCATTCTTGCAAGGAATTTTACTTGGATAAAAAAGGTCCCTAACAGATAGTGGAAACCCAGATTTTTCTATTTGGCTTTCTTTTAATGAATGTAGCTATATATTAAATAATGAATAAGTGGAAAAGAAAAGAAGGAAGACATGAAATGAAAGGAAATTTGACAATAGTATGATACATTAAAAGACCTGAGAAAAGTATGGCAAGATTTAAAGCTTATTATTTGGGGCACATAGAAAGCAATTAAGAAAATGGTTACATGGAAATATTGTTAGTTGCCTCAAAATGGTGCGTATCTTTTTTTTTTTTTCTGAGTAATAAACTTGAGACGTTTTTTCTGCTCATAAGAAAGACTACATTTCCGCTTGGCCTAGAAACAAAGTCTGGTCAATCTACTGAGGTGGAAATATCACACTGCAGCTTCTGGTAAGCTCCTTGTCAAAGATAAATTCTAATGGGCAAAGTTAAATGGGAAAATACCTTATTCAGAACAGTTGCAATAGGGGAGAGACGTTGAACTCAACTGTGGTTAATCCAAATGGTGGGTGGAGAGTGTTAAGCACTGGGATGGATAGTGGAAAAGTACTATTCATCCCAGTAATGGAGGAGAGGACACTAGGTAGGGTAGGCTCATCAGTGGGATGCATTGAGCATGTTGAGTTATTCCAGAGTTTGCTAATGTTATCCTCTGTTATTAGACCACCTGTGTTTCATAGTTGGTGCCCATCAAAGTTAGGTTCCTATCCTTTCATGGAAACTGATAGCGACTCTTTCTTGATAATTTCACTCCAAAAGGATAGCTCCTAGGCCTTGAGAAAGACATTCTTGGGTTATAAAACTGGGCAATAGGCTGAGTGAAGGTTTATACACATTTGAAAGGGGCAAGGGAAATATTTGCAATTACAAGTTTTCTAAGGTAAATACTCTAATAAAAGGGAGGCTAGAGGCCTGTATTAGTTCATTGTCACACTGCTATGAAGAAGTATCTGAGATTGGGTAATTTATAAAGGAAAGAGGTTTAATTGACTTACAATTCCTCATTGCTGGGGAAGCATCAGGAAACTTATAATCATGGCAGAAGGCAAAGGAGAAGCAGGCACCTTCTTCACAGGATGGCAGGACAGGGTGAGGGCAAGCAGGGGAAATGCCAGATGCTTATAAAAACATCAAATCTCTTGAGACTCACTCACTATCATGAGAACAGCATGGGGGAAATCACCCCATGATGTAATTGCCTCCACCTGGTGGCATCCTTGACACATGGAGATTACAATGTAAGATGAGATTTTGGGTGGGGACACAACCAAACCATATTCAGGGCCTATAGTCAGAAAGAAACTTGTCTAAATTTTAGTCAAGTTGAGCAAATTGTGAAAGTAGCCTTGATGACATTTAACAAATTAATAAAAAAGATACATGAATATATGTGACTTTTGGCCTTTATTCTTTTCCTTATTCTTAATAACTGGAAGGTGGAATACTCTTTGGACTATAAGAATATGGGCTATATTTTGGGTTTACAAGAGATTCTAGGTCTGTGAGGGCTTTTTAGAGAAAAGTATGCCATATTTGTCCTGAAATGCACACCCCCAGATATTCTGAGTGTTTAAACTATTAGGGGAATTTAATATCTCTTACTGGCAGCCGAACATAATCCTAACTGGTAGCGCTTACTTGTTAAATAAAAATGAATCCAAATAGATTCCAAAATAATATCTCTCACCTTCAGCATGAGGACTAAGCTCTGATTTTTTGTCTTGCCCAAATTCCTACCTAAGGGGTCTGGGGAATCGTGCCCTACAAACCGTGGATTCTTATCAGATGGGTTTTATTTGACCCTGTGTATTGTGATTTGCCTTTCAATCTGACTCTGGCATAGCAAGATAAGAAAAAAATATTTAATTTCAAAATATATTTCCTCACCAAGCCTTGAAATTGCCCTGCTGTTGTGGGAAGTCAGAGACCCCAAATGGAGGGACTGGCTGGAGCTGTGGCAGAGGAAACATAAATTGTGAAGATTTCATGGACATTTATCAGCTCTCTAATAATACTCTTGTAATTTCTTATGCCTGTCTTACTTTATTCTCTGAATCCTCTTATCTTCATAAGCTGAGGATGTATATCACCTCAGGACCCTGTGATGATTGCATTAACTGTACAAATGGATGGTAAAACATGTGTGTTTGAACAATATAATATGAAATCAGTGCACCTTGAAAATGAACAGAATAACAGCGATTTTAGGGAACAAGGGAAGTTAACCATAAGGTCTGACTGCCTACGGGGTCGGGCGAAAAAAGCCATATTTTTCTTCTTGCAGAGAGCCTATAAGTAGGAGAGATATCGCCAAATTCTTTCCTAGCAAGGAATAGTAAGACCCTAGGAAAAGAATTGAATTCCTGGGGGGAGGTCTATAAATGACCGATCTGGGAGTGTCTGTCTTATGTGGTGGAGATGAGGGCTGAAATACACCCTGGTCTCCTGCAGTACCCTCAGGCTTATTAGAGTGGGAAAAAAAAACACTCCCTGGTAAATTTGAGATCAGACCAATTCTCTGTTCTTGAACCCTGTTTTCTGTTGTTTAAGATGTTTATCAAGACAATATGTGCACAGCTGAACATAGACCCTTATTAGGAGTTTTTGATTTTGCCCTTTGCCTTGTGATCTTTATTGGCCTCAGAAGCATGTGATCTTTGTTCTCCTTTTTGCCCTTTGAAGCATGTGATCCTTGTGACCTACTCCCTGTTCATACACCCCCTCCCCTTTTGAAGTCCTTGATAAAAACCTGCTGGTTTTGTGGCTTACGTGGGCATCATGGACCTACCAATATGTGATGTCACCCCCAGAGGCCCAGCTGTAAAATTCCTCTCTTTGTACTCTTTCTCTTTATTTCTCAGACTGGCCAACACTTAGGGAAAATAGAAAGAACCTACGTTGAAATATTGGGGGCAGGTTCCCCTGATACCCTGCAAAGTCTCTTGTGTGAAAAATCCACATTCTATAGAGAATCTCCTTTCCCCTGTGTTTTCCTTTATTTCCAGATCTAGGAGACAATTAACTAAGACCCAGGCACCCTTTTAGGACCCATAAGAAACATTTTACAACTTGCTCTCTCTCTCTCAGTCTGCTGAGAGATTCCTTTGCACAATAAAACTTGGTCCCCACAATCCTTTATCTTAACCTGAACATTCTTTTCCATTAATCCCAGGTCTTCAGATAAACTCAATCGGAAAATGTTTAAATTTATCTATAGTCTGGAAGCCCCTGCTTTGAGTTGTCCCACCTTTCTGAACCAAACGAATGTACTTATTCAATGTATTTGATTGATGTCTCATGCCCCCCTAAAATACATAAAACCAAGCTGTACCCTGACCACCTTGGACACAAGGTTCTCAGGACCTCCTGAGGGCTGTGTCACTGGCCATGGTCACTTGTATTTGGCTCAGAATAAATCTCTTCAAACATTTTATAGAGTTTGTCTCTTTTCATTGGCAACTAACACATGAATTGCCTTTTGAAATCTCTTTATATTTGTTAATTCTGTATTCACATTTATTATGTCTTCTATATATTTTGTTATATATACACATACATATCAATTTGTGTGTGAATCCTTTTCCAGCTTGATTCAAAGCTGGATCTTATATTTTGTATACCCCTTAGGGAATTACATGGTAACTACCTATTAGTGATATTTGTTTGAATAATTATCTCTATTTTAGTAACATCTATCAGAATTGTGCAGAATTTCTAATATAATATTTTGTGTGTGTTGGATTACATCAGAAAAGATAGGAGTTTGTGAATAATTGATCGTTTTCTACATGTTATGTTAAACAGTAAAACCAAAAGATAGCAGCTAGCATGGAAGAGTGAAGTGCAATATCTCTTGCTAAGTGGCTTGATTACTAATTGATTTGGAATAATACTGAAGTAAAAGGCAAAAAGCATACAGGGGAATTTTTTTCATCCTTTAGAAACCTTTGAAGATATCAATCTTAACTTTTCTGAGCTTCTTTGTTCAAATAAAATTTTAGCTACTTCAGCATATAGAGAAACTCAAGGTAAAAAGTAATGACCTTTTCAAGCTTGAGCAAACAGGAAATTTTCTCATTTTTGTTATGGATATTTTATTGAGACCTTTATAACCAAGATAAATAATGTAAAAGCTTAGTGAAGAAATGTGGTCCACAATAAATATTAAACAACAAGATAATAATGATAATGATTTTTTCATTGAAGACAGCTTTTGAATTTTTGATTCAAACTGTTAGCTTTGGGGCTTAATAGAGTATTGATTGTACATAAGGGCTCTAAATAACAATAAAGTTATCCTCACAAGTGAAAATAATCACGTAAAAGAGCTTCTAATTAAAGTTGTAATTTATTACCATAAAATAAATTTTATTGCTATAGTTTATGACCACTATAGCTGAATAAATAACTCTGATTGTGATCAATAAGTATTGACTAGTAGAAATGAGTTGGCTGCAGTCTATTCCAAGCATGCAAGCCAGGACACATTTGTAAACACCAAAATTGTCTTTCTTTAAGTAATTCATTGTGTTAACAAAAATGAAATACACATACAATTAAAAAAAATTAACTACTTTTTCCCCCTAAAGGGTTAAATTATTTAAATGTTTGAATACATTTGCTTATCCCAAAGTCAATTTACATATTTGAATAGGTTTAGAAAAGTGGGGAACCAGTGCTTGAAAAGAGATATCTCAAAAGAGAAAGCACTTTTTTTTTTTTTTTTTTTTTTTTTTTGAGACAGAGTCTCACTCTTTTGCCCAGGCTGGAGAGCAGTGGCACAATCTCGGCTCACTGCAAGCTCTGCCTCCCAGGTTCATGCCATTCTCCTGTCTCAGCCTCCTGAGTAGCTGGGACTACAGGCGCCCGCCATTGCACCTGGCTAATTTTTTTGTATTTTCAGTAGACACGGGGTTTCACCGTGTGTTAGCCAGGATGGTCTTGATCTCCTGACCTTGTGATCTGCCCGCCTCGACCTCCCAAATTGCTGGGATTACAGGCATGAGCCACCGCGCCCAGCCGAAAGCACATTTTAAACATGCTCTTATTGGATAACGAAAAGAAAAATCAGCCATTTCCTTTTGCAAGGTATCATCAGAGTTGAGACAATCACCTTTGTGTTCAATCTTAGTTTAGGATTTATGTATTTACCTGTGAGAGTAAACACTGTTCAAATTATATTCATATTGCTAATTTTATCCAAAAATATTTATTGAGTGCTTCTTATGTGCTGGGCATTGCTCTATGTGTTGAGGGCCTTATGTGTATTACTATCTTAAGAATAACTCAGGGCTAAGTAGAAAGTGGAGAATATAGTTTTGACCTCTAATAAACCAGGTTTTAAATATCAGGACTGCTGTAAACACTTCATCTGTTATTTAACTTTGGTTTTACTGTTTCTTCTTATGCAAGTTGAAAACAATAATAACTAATTTGTTGGGTTGTTGTAGGGTATAAATGAGATGACGATATGAAAAGTACTGGTACATTATAGACTACAATGGATGGTTGCTTACCATAATTAAATAATAAGTAATAATTGTAAACAGTTATAAGCATTCACAAATACATTATTGGTGGTTGAGATTTCAAGTGATCAAAATATGTGAAGATCCATCTTTATGGTTCTTGTTTCATTTTGATACAAAACTTGAGCCACATCCAACATTCATAAAATTTTCATATATTATATCTCATATGTGATGTGTTCACCAGCATTTCCTGATAAGATTCTTTATGGTAGCTCCTAGACATTGCCACTTTGTAAACAACTGCATGCAGCCTAATCCCCAGAAATCCATCTAATTTTGGGGAAACTATTTTTGCTTCCAGTGAGTATCACTGCATTACCTAGGCTTTAAAACTACTCTAAGTAATACCAATACACTTCTTTTTTACTTTTGATGGCTGATTTTTTTTTCCAGCTACTAGTGCCTACTATTGGAATCCTTAGGATGTCAAAAGTTCTGTGGTGGTCTGTGGTTAAATTGAAGAGAATGCCACTTTGCATTTAGGCTGTCTTCTATGAGAGAAAAATCAACATCTTGTACCTCAAAATTTTAGCTTTAAGGGAATAAGTTCTTTCTATTCACAATTACAGTCCTCAGGTGAAATTCACATATGATTTTCTAAACCTCTGTTATAAACAACTTACCTGGCTTCTCATATAATATTTTTCATTATTTTTATTTTATTCTGTAATTTTATCAGTTGTAGATTTTGAATGGCATTGTTTCTTGAGGCTATGAGTGTTATGCAGTATAACTAGCATTATTTAAAATGCAATATTGGAATTATGAGTAGATCTCCTTTCAAGATGGCCATGATTAGTACTCTATATTAATAATTCTTTACATCTACATTTTGTTTAATCAGAAAATTTTAAAATCACATTGCATTAGTTTTCTAAACCTAGAACCATTTTTATGGAATTTTAAAAAAAAACACTCTGAACATTTCTTTCTAATATACTAATTATAAATAGTTAATAAAGCAAACATAATATTAGAATTAAATTGAAGATCATGGAGTAAATAGCACATTATATTCTCTACTTAATAGATTATCCTACAATTTCAAAGCCTTTTAAACCATTTTAACCACTGTGAAGTAACTTTGTACATTCTAGCACCTCCCCTTATTTCCCACCTTGTCTCTGAACCTTTTTTTCTTTAGCCTTTATCAGTGAGTAAATGTCTATTTTGCCCCTTGCACAGTATTTGTATGACATACGAACTTCCATCTTGGGACAAGTAAAGTTTAAGTATATTTCAGTTTTATTCTAGCCCAGCTCTTCTCACTATTAAGCTCTTTGAGGATAAAACTTTGTCTTATTTTTCTCTGTAGGTCCAGAGCTTAGCATTGTGCTTTGCTAGGCAAGCATTCAATTTGTATTTAATAGTAGATGAGTAAATAAAATTAAAAAAAATCAATGAATGTCTATTATATATTTGAAATCATCTGAACAGTTTTATATAAGAATATTATAAAGTACTATGTGATATATGACTATATTATATGTACAATGTATATACACATACATACAATGCTTGCTTTTTTACAAAATATTTTATATCCTATGCTACAACTTGCTGTTTGTACTCAACATAATATTATAGACATTCTTTCACATGAAAGAAGTAGTACTCTATTATTTTTAGTGACTATATAATATCCCACAATGCAGTATGTTAATTTCTTTATTCCTCTTTTAATGGATTACTTACAAATTCAATATTAATAATGATGCTGCGTTAATATAGTTGTATGCATTTCCAAAGACTATATTTTAATAGAAATTATTGAGTCGGAGGTATGTAAATTATATTTGTATTTGTGCTGCCAAATCAAACACCAAATATTTGTTCAATAGTTTCCAGTCTTTTAAAATATATACAAATGTATGTTTATATATATGTAAATAGATGATAGATGATGGGTAGGTAGATAGGTAGATTGACATAAAAAGGGAGAAGACAAAGAAAGGAAGAAAATGAAAGGGAGAGGAAGGGAGGGAGGAAAAAAGGAAAGAAGGAAAGAGAGAAGGAGGGGTATCTTTGAATATATCTGTATATATATGTAGGTGTGTCTGTATATATGAATATATACATTTTAAGAAAATGCAATTTATAAAGTGTTCAAATAAATTTAAAAAATTCTTAAAAAGGTGGAAATCTTTATTAGTCAGTTAGGATTTAGAGATAGATTAATAATAAGAGATGTCTCTTGAACATGTTACTTTGCAAGAAAAAATTATGACCTTTACCATTTTTTGTCTTCTTCAATTTTTCTCCCTACCTTCCTTTTTAAATTCCCCTTCTTCCATGTCCCCTTTTAACACACAAATATCAGCCTCTAAGGAATCAGGGCACTTAGCAGACATCTTAGCTGGCATTCCCAATGCCTAAGGAAGTGGGGTGCTGAGAGGGAGGGGAGGCAGGCTGGTTGCTTTGTTGGTGTCAGATGCCTGAGAAAGAAGGATCACGGTTGGGAGGGTTTGAATGGCACAAGTCTACTGGGCTTCTTAGGAATCTGACCCATTTATCATTAGAGCAAGCCACAGAGAATGTTAAAAGTGGGTGAAACAAGAAAGAGTAGCGTGGGATATTGTAATTCTTATGGAGATAACCACCAGAAGAAACAGCTTATGTAGTATGCATCCTTCTAGATTGTGGAACTAGGTGTCAAGAAGAGATGGCTTGGTGAGAATTGTTTTAGAAATACTTGAGTTTTTAAACAATATTTGCATATTATTAAATACATTTTACATTATAAAAAGAGCATATAGATCTTTAGTATATTTTGGAACTATATTTGTTAGATATATTTTATTTTTAATTTGAGGGCTGTGATAGTTTTATGGTTAACTTGTCTATTCTACAGAACCCAGTTGTGTGGACAAAAACCAGGCTAGACATTGCTGTGAAGACATTTTCGAGAGGTAATTAACATTTAAAACCAGTTGACTTTAAGTAAAGCCAATTACTTTTCATATTGTGAGCAGGCCTCATCCAGTCAGTTGACGGCCTTAAGAGCAAAAACTGAATTCCCTTTGGAAATAAGGGATTCTGCCTTATGGCTATAACATAGAAAGCCCAGGTAAGTGTCCAGCCTACTGTCCTGCCCTATGGATTTCAGATTCAAGACTGCAATATCAACTCTTACATAAATTTTCAGCTTCATCTCCTATAGATTTCAAATTTGCCAGCCAACACAATTGTCTGAGTCAATTCCTTAAAATCTCTTTTTCCTTTCTCTCTCTCTCAGAAGACACACAAACACACACACACACATACACACACACATTCTGTAATATGCTTTGTATCTCTGGAGAATGCTGACTGAAACAAGGGCCTAAATGTTTAAACATTAGGGCATTCCAAGGTGGCCAAATAGGAACAGCTCCAGTCTGCAGCTCCCAGCATGATCGATGCAGAAAACGAGTGATTTCTGCATTTCCAGCTGAGGTACCTGGTTCATCTCATTGGGACTGGTTGGAGAGTGGGTGCAGCCCAGCCAAGGGAAGCCGTCACAGATTACCTGGAAAAATGAGACACTGTTGCCCAAATACTGTACTGTTCCCAAGGTCTTAGCAACCAGCAGACAAGATGCTTCTCACCCATGCCTGGCTTGGCAGCTCCCACACCCACGAAGCCTTGCTCAGTGCTAGCGCAGCATTCTGAGATTGATCCCCAAGAAGGCAGCCTGGCTGGGGGATGGGCATCTGCCATTGCTGAGGCTTGAGTAGGTAAACAAAGCATCCAGGAAGCTCAAACTGGGTGGAGCCCATCACAGCTCAACAAGGCCTACTGCCTCTAGACGCCATCTCTGTGGGCAGGGCATAGCTGAAAGAAAGGCAGCAGACAACTTCTGCAGACTTAAACGTCCCAGTCTGACAGCTCTGAAGGGAGCAGTGGTTCTCCCAGCATGGGATTTGAGTGCTGAGAATGGACAGACTTCCTCCTCAAGTGCGTCCCTGACCCCTGTGTAGCCTAATTGAGAGACACCTCCCAGTAGGGGCCCACAGACACCTCATATAGGCTACCCCTCTGGGATGAAGCTTCCAGAGGAAGGATCAGGCAGCAATATTTGCTGTTCTGCAGCCTCCGCTGGTTATACCCAGGCAAACAGGGTGTGGAGTGGAACTCCAGCAAACTCCAACAGACCTGCAGCTGAGGGACCTGACTGTTAGAAGGAAAACTAACCGAAAGGAATAGCATCAACATCAACAAAAAGGTAATCTACACCAAAACCCCATCTGTAGGTCACCAACATCAAAGACTAGAGGTAGATAAAACCACAAAGATGGGGAGAAACCAGAGCAGAACAGCTAAAAATTCTAAAAATTAGAGTACCTTTTCTCCTCCAAAGGATCACAACTCCTCACCAGCAATGGAACAAAGCTAGATGGAGAATGACTTTGATGAGTTGACAGAAGTAGGCTTCAGAAGATCAGTGATAAAATCCTCTGAGCTAAAAGAGGATGTTCGAACCCATTACAAGGAAGCTAAAAACCTTGAAAAAAAAATTAGACAAATGGCTAACTAGAATAAACAGTGTAGAGAAGACCTTAAATGACCTGATGGAGCTGAAAACCATGGCACAAGAACTCTGTGACGCATGCACAAGCTTCAATAGCTGATTTGATCAAGTGGAAGAAAGAGTATCAGTGATTGATGATCAAATTAAGGAAATAAAGCAAGAAAACAAGGTTAGAGAAAAAAGAGTAAAAAGAAACGAACAAAGCCTCCAAGAAATATGGGACTATGTGAAAAGACCAAATCTACGTTTGATTGGTGTACCTGTAAGTGATGGGGAGAATGGAACCAAGTTGGAAAACACTCTTCAGGATATTATCCAGGAGAACTTCGCCAGCATAGCAAGGTGGCCAACATTCAAATTCAGGAAATACAAAGAATACCACAAAGATAATCCTCGAGAAGAGCAACCCCAAGACACATAATTGTTGGATTCACCAAGATTCACCAAGGTTGAAATGAGGGAAAAAATGTTAAGGGCAGCCAGAGAGAAAGGTTGAGTTACCCACAAAGGGAAGCCCATAAAACTAACAGCGGATCTCTCAGCAGAAACCCTGCAAGCCAGAAGAGAGTGGGGGCCAATATTCAACATTCTTAAAGAAAATAATTTTCAACCCAGAATTTCATATCCAGCCAAATTAAGCTTCATAAGTGAAGGAGAAATAAAATCCTTTACAGACAAGCAAATGCTGAGAGATTTTCACACCACCAGGCGTGCCTTACAAGAGCTCCTAAAGGAAGGACTAAACATGGAAAGAAACAACTGGTACCAGCCATGCAAAAACAGGCCAAATTGTAAAGACCATTGAGGCTATGAAGAAACTGGATCAATTAGTGGGCAAAATAACCAGCAATCATCATAATGACAGGATCAAATTCACACACAACAATATTAACCTTAAATGTAAATGGGCTAGATGATCCAGTTAAAAGAAACAGACTGGAAAAATAGATAGAGTCAAGACCCATCAGTGTGCTGTATTCAGGAGAGCCATCTCAAGTGCAAAGACGCACATAGGCTTAAAATAAAGGGATGGAGGGAGATACACCCAGCAAATGTAAAGAAAAAAAAAAAGCAGGGGTTGCAATCCTAGTCTCTGATAAAATAGACTTTAAACCAGCAAAGATGAAAAGAGACAAAGAAAGCCATTACATAATGGTAAAGGGATCAATTCAACAAGAAGAGCTAACTGTCCTAAATATATATGCACCAAATACAGTAGCATCCAGATTCATAAAAGAAGTCTTTAGAAAGCTACAAAGAGACTAAGACTCCCACACAATAATAATGGGAGACTTTAACACCCCACTGTCAAAATTAGACATATCAACAAGACAGAAGGTTAACAAGGATATCCAGGACCTGAACTCAGCTCTGCAACAAGCAGACCTAATAGACATCCACAGAACTCTCCACCCCAAATCAACAGCATATACATTCTTCTCAACACCACATTGCACTCATTCTAAAATTGACCACATAATTGGAAGTAAATCATCCCTCAGCAAATGTAAAAGAACAAAAATCACAACAAACTGTCTCTCAGACCATGTGCAAATTAGAACTCAGGATTAAGAAACTCACTCAAAACTGCACAACTGCATGGAAACTGAACAACTTGCCACTGAATGACTACTGGGTAAATAACGAAATGAAGGCAGAAATAAGGTTGTTCTTTGAAACCAATGAGAACAAAAACACAATGTACAAGAATCTCTGGGACACATTTAAAGCAGTGTGTAGAGGGAAATTTATAGCACTAAATGCCCACAAGAGAAAGCAGGAAAGATCTAAAATCGATACCCTAACATCACAATTAAAAGAACTAGAGAAGCAAGAGAGCAAACAAATTCAAAAGCTAGCAGAAGGCAAAAAATAACTAAGATCAGAGCAGAACTGAAAGAGATAGACACAAAAAAACCTTCAAAAATCAATGAATCTAGGAGCTTTTTTTTTGAAAAGATGAACAAAATTGATAGACCACTAGCAAGACTAATAAAGAAGAAAAGAGAGAAGAATCAAATAGATGCAATAAAAAATAAGAGGGATACCACCACCGATCCCACAGAAATACAAACTACCATCAGAGAATACTATAAACACCTCTATGCAAATAAACTAGAAAATCTAGAAGAAATGGATAAATTCCTGGACACATACACCCTCCCAAGACTAAGGCAGGAAGAAGTTGAATCTTTGAATAGACCAATAACAGGCTCTGAAATTGAGACAATAATTAATAGCCTGCCAACCCAAAAAAGTCCAGGACCAGATGGATTCCCAGCCAAATTCTACCAGTGGTACAAAGAGGAGGTGGTACCATTCCTTCTGAAACTATTCCAATAAATAGAAAAAGAGGGAGTCTTCCCTAACTCATTTTATGAGGCCAACATCATCCTGATACTAAAGCCTGGCAGAGACACAACAAAAAAAGAGAATTTTAGACCAATATCCCTGATGAACATCGAAGCAAAAATCTTCAGTAAAATACTGGCAAACCAAATCCAGCAGCATATCAAAAAGCTTATCCACCATGATCAAGTGGGCTTCATCCCTGGGATGCAAGGCTGGTTCAAAATACACAAATCAATAAAGGTAACCCATCACATAAACAGAACCAATGACAAAAACCACATGATTATCTCAATAGATGCAGAAAAGGCCTTTGACAAAAATTACAGCCTTTCATGCTAAAATCTCTCAATAAACTAAGTATTGATGGAACGTATCTCAAAATAATAAGAGCTATTTATGACAAACCCACAGCCAATATCATACTGAATGGGCAAAAGCTGGAAGCATTCCCTTTGAACACCAGCACAAGACAAGGATGCCCTCTCTCACCACTCCTTTTCAACATAGTGTTGGAAGTTTTGGCCAAGGCAATTAGGCAAGAGAAAGAAATAAAGGGTATTCAATTAGGAAAAGAGGAAGTCAAATTGTCCCTGTTTGCAGATTACATAATTGTATATTTAGAAAACCCCATCATCTCAGCCCAAAATCCCCTTAAGCTGATAAGCAACTTCAGCAAATTCTCAGGATACAAAACCAATGTGCAAAAATCACAAGCATTCCCATACACAAATAACAGACAAACAGAGAGCCAAATCATGAGTGAATTCCCATTCACAATTGCTAAAAAGAGAATAAAATACATAGGAATCCAAGTTACAAGGGATGTGAAGGAATTCTTCAAGGAGAACTACAAATCACTGCTCAATGAAATAAAAGAGGACACAAACAAATGGAAGAATATTCCATGCTCATGGATAGGGAGAATCAATATCGTGAAAATGGCCATACGGCCCAAGGTAATTTATAGATTCAATGCCATCCCAATCAAGCTACCAATGACTTTCTTCACAGAATTGGAAAAAACTACTTTAAAGTTCATATGGAACCAAAAAACAGCCTGCATTGCCAAGTCAATCCTAAGCCAAAAGAACAAAGCTGGAGGCATCACACTACCTGACTTCAAACTATACTACAAGGCTACAGTAACCAAAACAGCATGGTACTGGTACAAAAACAGAAATATAGACCAATAGAACAGAACACAGGCCTCAGAAATAACACCACACATCTACAACCATCTGATCTTTGACAAACCTGAGAAAAACAAGAAATGGAGAAAGGATTCCCTATTTAATAAATGGTGCTGGGAAAACTGGCTAGCCATATGTAGAAAGCTGAAACTGGATCCCTTCATTACACATTATACAAAAATTAATTCAAGATGGATTAAAGACTTAAATATTAGGCCTGAAACCATAAAATCCCTAGAAGAAAACCTAGGTAACACCATTCAGGACATAGGCATGGGCAAGGACTTCATGGCTAAAACACCAAAAGCAATGCCAGCAAAAAAGCAATGCTTTTTTGGCAGAAAAAAACAAAAAAAAGCAATGCTCTTTTGGCAAAAACAAAAAACAAAACAAAAAAAGCAATGCTTTTTTGGCAAAAAGCAAAGCCAAAATAGACAAATGGCACCTAATTAAACTAAAGAGCTTCTGCATGGCAAAGGAAACTACCAGCAGAGTGAACAGGCAACCTACAGAATGGGAGAAAATTTTTGCAATCTACCCATCTGACAAAGGGCTAATATCCAGAATCTACAAAGAACTCAAATTCACAAGAAAAAAACAAGCCCATCAACAAGTGAGCAAAGGATATGAACAGAGACTTCTCAAAAGAAGACATCTATGCAGCCAACAGATGCTCATTATCACTGGTCGTCAGAGAAATGCAAATCAAAACCACAATGAGATACCCTCTCACACCAATTAGAATGACAATCATTAAAAAGTCAGGAAACAACAGATGCTGGAGAGGATGTGGAGAAATAGGAAATCTTTTACACTGTTGGTGGGAGTGTAAATTAGTTTAATCATTGTGGAAGACAGTGTGGTGATTCCTCAGGGATCTAAAACTAGAATTACCATTTGACCCAGCAATCGCATTACTGGGTATGTACCCAAAGGATTATAAATCATGCTACTATAAAGACGTATGCACACGTATGTTTACTGAGGCACTATTCACAATAGCAAAGACTTGGAACCAACCCAAATATCCATCAATGATAGATTGGATGAAGAACATGTGGCACATATACACCATGGAATACTATGCAGCCATAAAAAATGATGAGTTCATGTCCTTTGCAGGGACATTGATGAAGCTGGAAACCATCATTCTCAGCAAACTATCGCAAGGACAGAAAACCAAACACCGCATGTTGTCACTCATAGGTGGGAACTGAACAGTGAGATCACTTGGACACAGAGCAGGGAACATGACACACCAGGGCCTGTCAGGGGGTGGGGGTGCTGGGGGAGGGATAGCATTAGGAGAAATACCTAATGTAAATGATGAGTTGATGGGTGCAGCAAACCGACATGGCACATGTATACCTATGTGTCAAACCTGCGCATTTGCACATGTACCCTAGAACTTAAAATAATAATAAGAAAAATTTAAGCATATAGTCCTTTAGTTTTCCATGAAACAACAATTCACTAAGATTAAGAAATTAGCTTTGATCTTAACATCTTAATTAAGGGCAAACTAATTAGAAAAATAATAATAATCTCAACTACATAAAAATAGATGTATTTGTATTTGCAAAGCAGTATCAAAATAGTCAAGATCTCTGTTCACAAAATATCCAAAGCCACAATGTTATTTTACTTATACAAGTATTACCTATAACCCTGTTTAAATTCTGAGACAATATGTTTATATATTTTCAAAAACTGTCACATATACTATTAGACCCAGAAGATGCTCAATTTGAAAACAAAATATATGAAGGCAGAATTTTTTGTCTTTTTTGCATTGCTGTATTCCCACTGCCTAGAACAGTGCCTGGTATTTGGAAGACACGTAAAAAAGTGTTTTTCTGAGTGAAGGAGGAGTGAATAAATGAATGAGAAAAAGGGGGAAATTATTGAGGAAATACTGAAAACTATATATTAACCAAATTACTTATAGTACATATTAGTATATTAAAGTCTTTGAAGATTCCTACGTCAAATAAAACTTCTTTTGATTACATTTTAGCAACTCTATTAACTGACAAATAAAACTTTTTATCTAATGTTTTATACCTAATTTCTTACAGAAACTTTCAATACCCAGAAAATTCAGTTGGAATATATTTTCCAATAGATATATTTTTGAAAACTGCATTGTTTACAAAATTCAATTTACGGCTGGGCGCGGTGGCTCACACCTGTAATCCTAGCACTTTGGGAGGCCGAGGCAAGAGGATCATGAGGTCATGAGATCGAGACCATCCTGGCCAACATGGTGAAACCCCGTCTCTACTAAAAATACAAAAAAATTAGCCAGGTGTGGTGGCAGGCACCTGTAATCCCAGCTACTTGGGAGGCTGAGGCAGGAGAATTGCTTGAACTCGGGAGGCAGAGGTTGCAGTGAGCCAAGATCACACCATTGCACTCCAGCCTGGGCAAAAAAAGCAAAACTCTGTCTCAAAAAAAAAAAAATTGCAAAATTCAATTTACATTAAGTGATCCAATTGCCCAAGAATGACTTTTAGATACAAGTTTTTTTGTTTTATGTTGTTTAGAATGTCAAATTTTAATCTTAATATATATACATTCAATAGCACCATTTTCTCACCCTAAAAAATGCACTATTGCAGATCAATGAAATGAGTTACATCTCACTGACTACTTTCCTGTCATCCTTATTTTATACTGACACGGTTGTCTGAATTTCTCTTTTATGATCCCAACTCATTTATCTTTTCTGATTGTTTCCTTTGCAAGTATTGTCATTTCTGTTTCTACAAAGAGATCCATTAATATTTGTTTAACATTCAGTTTGCTAAAGTATCCTCCTTTTCTTACTATTCTTAGAACAGCTAGTAACAGGCACACAACTCTTCTTCTGAAACTGCATTTTAAGTCTAGTTCTTGGCTTCTAGTCATCTTGCCGTTCTTCTTTTCTCCCATGCTATTCTTTTTTCTGATTCAGAGGAACCTAACTGAAAATGGCACACACAAATTGACATTGACTGGTTACTCTGTTAGGTTTTATAATGGACTTCAAAAGAGAGGTATAATCTCTAATTCAACTGTTATCACCTAATAACAAAGGAGATTCATTGATTCTGCAGAGACAAAACACCAAGCACTCAGAAAAAACCCAATTTTGCAAGCACCTTAATGAAATGATTTGTACATTGACAAACTAAGTAATTCTTCCTTTCCTACTTTATTTCTTGGCTTTTGTTTCACTTGATTTCTTATTATATATTGTAATAAAATAATGAGCACATCTGGAGTCTATTGGTTTAGTTCAACAGTTCATATAAAGATTTTAAAGTCAATCAGAAATTATTTCTTAAATACAAAATATTTCTCTCAACAATTTATCAATTATTTTCTTCATATGTCAAAAGTTTTAGTGCATCAATTATGCAGGCTGTAATCTTAGTCCATTTTAGCTACCATAACAAAAATAGCATAGACTTTATGGATTGAACAACAAACACTATTTCTCGCAGTTCTGAAGGCTGAGAAGTCCAAGGTCAAGGTGCCAGGAGATTTGGTGTCTGATGGGGGCCCACTTCCTCATTCATAGATGGTGGTTTTCTTGGATAGCGGAGATTTAAAAGATATATACAACCACACACAGATACAGTTCTGACTATACATATATATGATCCTATTCGTATGTAAAGAAATTCTTAGTAAAATATATATGCAATTGTGTCTGTAAAGGTATACATACACATTTATCCAGATTTAACAACAAAGATAGGAATTCTGTTATACAGGAATAATAGCTTGTCAAGATAATAAACCCAGAAAGCTTCACCTCCTCATAAGCAGAGAGGATCTCTTGATATTCAAGGTTAAAGATAAAGTCTCTTTCTCCGGAAGGAAAAACAGGCAGATATACTGGCTGTTCCTGTATAAGCACTGAGTGGCATACTTTGGAGTTCCTCTCCTGTAAGGCAAACCCACTGCATGCCCAGATATCTGGTTCTCACTGTTTGAAGACTGGGATTCAATAAATGTGTATTAAGATGCTACTCTGGCTTGGTGGTTTTGGTGTGTAAAATAATACGTGGTATGTTTCTCTGATCCAGCAGTCTGAAATATCTCTCAATATATATAAAACTATGGCAGACTAATTGATTAGCTTGCAACTAGAAAAACACCTCAAGCCCTCAATACTTTATTATTTCACATATAATACCTATGATATTCTACCCCTCAAAAAAACAGAAGAATCTGTTCTCAAAACAGACGTATCTGTTCTCAAAACAGTATTACTTAACATCACACATCACTCTAAATAATATAGTTAAGTAATTTATTTATTTTTTGAGACAGGGTTTTGCTATTTTTGCCCAGGCTAAATTTGAACTCCTAGGTTCAAGTGATCCTCCTGCCTTAGCCTTCCAAGTAGCTGGGACTATAGGAATGCACCACTGCACCCAGTTTATAGCTAATATTTAGATAGAGTTTTTCAAATCTTTTAAAATATCCAGGTGTGCATGGGTATAGTTTATGATAATATCCAAAAACAAGCATCTGTTCTGGTATAAAAAATCAATAAGCTGTAATGAAATTAAAAAGTCATAACCTAGGATGATAATGATGCAAATATGCAGTACTTCTACTACTGACTATTCAGAAGCAGGCCAAGCTTTGTGATTAAAAACACAATCCTTCACAAGACTGACCTCACTTAAGACAATAGTCACAAATGTAAGGGTTCTCAGGCTACATTCAGTTTTAACCATTGGCTACAAATCTGTAGGTAGCTGCAACAATTTCAAATTCAATTCTTTGTTAGAATAACTCACAGGACTCAGAAAAGTGCTATACTTATTATTCTGATTTTATTGTAGCAAAAATCACAACCAGTCAAAGGGAGAGACTCAGAGGGAGAGGTCTGGGAGGGTGCCACCTGCAAAGCTTCCATCATCACTAGGATCATTAATCACTTGGCACATCAATAGATGACAGTATGCAGAGTATAGCCAACTAGGGAACTTCCTATCACCCTCAATGTCCAGGGCTTCTCTTGGGGTTTCATTATGTCAGAATGATTGAATCATTGACCAGGAGATTAAAGTCAGTCACTAGCCTTTTCTTTTCCTGAGATTAGGCTGACCCTCTAATTACATAGTTGGTCCTTCTGGTGGTCTGCCCTCATTCTGACTCATTTTGTTAGCATAAACTTTGTAGGGGCCCACCATGACTCAGCTTATCAGCAAAATAGTTTGAGGGGCCCAGCGTAAACAACAAATATCCTTAGGCTATCCCGTGGATTTAGAGGCTACCTTCTAGAAACTAGGAAAAAAGATCATCCAATTATTTTTGTTTACAGAGTATATTTTACATCTTATAAAATATAAAATATTTTACATTTTAATAAGAAATAAACATACAGAAAAAATAAATGTTTTTATAGTATATGTTTAATAAATGTTTTATTAAGAAATGTTAATATCATCTTGAACAGGTAAAGTTCTATAGAACTCTACTTTTTACATCAATATATTACACAAAGAGGCAGATGTGGCCCTATCATAAGCAGAATATCAAAAACTGACGTATGTTTTAAAAAGTATTCTCCTCTATTTGTAAAGCTAAGAGAATATTATCATTTGAAGTATCCAAGCAGAAGCAATATAACTGTCACTATCTGAGATGGCAGATTAGATGACTTCTAAGTTATTTTTCTATATTCCAAGAATATGTTATTTTGAATTTGTGTGGTATATTCTTCCGTGTGTTACACCCATTCTGAAACTGTTTGCATCACTGATTTCAAAACATACTCCTTTTTACTTCCAATATTTCAATGAATGATACCAGTATCTAATCAGTTTCACGAACCTAGAAACCTAGGAATCACCCAAGACTCTCTCCCAGCTGCAGTCCATCATCAAGGCCTTTGAGGTACACTCCAAAAAATAACTTCAAATTTTTCACATTTGTTCAGTGTTACTATCACTGACTTCATCCAAGATCTAATAATCTCTGAGATCGACTGCTAAACTACCTCATTCTGAACTCCAAATGTGACTCAAATATTAAGGCCACAAAGTGAGAAAATGAATAATTAACACGAAACTGCCAATCTCAGAAAAAACAAAAGGTTATAGAGACTCATTTATTCTAGTACATAAATATTTATATAATCAAGTGTCCAGTCCTAATAAATGTAATCTCAGTAGTGCCCTCAAGTATATTCTAAGCCAAACCATCTTTCTTTTATTCCTTTTTTTGTCCTTGGTGTGGGCACTGAAGAAGAAAATGTTTAGAGCAAAGCAGAAATTACTGGGCAAGCTTCTTAACAAAGTACAAAAGAGTCAAATATCTCTTTTATCAATAAGTTTCATCTTCACATACTTCAGAATAAATACGAGTATTCTGTTCTTTATGGTGTACCATTTGGAGTAGTAAATTCCATTGACAGTGACTTTAGGCAATGTGACTGAATAAACTTTATTAGGAAAAAAGTCCTCTAGGTGTGTTTAAGCACAATCCTTTTGAATTAGTTCCTTAAAGGGCATATATTATAAAAGTTCTACCTGAAATATCTAAAGTGACCATGAAATTTTCCATGGCAGAACGTAATCCATCCCAGAAGTCATATGCTCTTGTGAAAGCTAAAATGATAATATTGTATCTTCCTTTTGTCTCTTCAGTAAATGACACTGTTGGGGAAATGATTGTCCAGTTATGTCAAAGTCACTGAGGCAATAAAATGAACTTTATCATTCACATCTAATAAAGAGAGTCACTGAACTGTACTAAAATTAAATCCACATTTTATTTTTTGGAATGGACAGAATATGAACAGAAACTGAGCTCCAGTAATTCCAATTTTGGAACAGAAAGTTACTTCTCTACTATTTCAGAAGTTTTGAAGGACAAATAAACTTTAGATAGAAATTTATGAAATAATGAATCAAATGCATAATTGCTGAAAATTCTTACGAACATAAAATTTTACCTATTTAATGATTTAACATTATGGTTTGCAGTTTTTTCTTCCCTACTTTGGAAGTAATCAAACTCTCCAGGATAAAGACATTTCTTTGTTTTTTTTTTTTTTAATTATACTTTAAGTTCTAGTGTACATGTGCACAAAGTGCAGGTTTGTTACATATGTATACACATGCCATGTTGGTGTGCTACACCCATTAACTCGTCATTTACATTAGGTATATCTCCTAATGCTATCCCTCCCCATTCCCCCCACCCCACAACAGGCCCCAGTGTGGGATGTCACCCTTCCTGTGTCCAAGTGTTCTCATTGTTCAATTCCCACCTATGAGTGAGAACATGTGATGTTTGTTTTTTTGTCCTTGTGATAGTTTGCTGAGAATGATGGTTTCCAGCTTCACCCATGTCCCTACAAAGGACATGAACTCATCATTTTTTATGGCTGCATAGTATTCCACGGTGTATATGTGCCACATTTTCTTAATCCACTCTATCATTGTTGGACATTTGGGTTAGTTCCAGGTCTTTGCTATTGTGAATAGTCCCACAATAAACATATGTGTGCATGTGTCTTTATAGCAGCATGTTTTATAATCCTTTGGGTATATATACCCAGTAATGGGATGGCTGGGTCAAATAGTATTTCTAGTTCTAGATCCCTGAGGAATCGCCACACTGTCTTCTACAATGGTTGAACCAGTTTAGAGTCCCACCAACAGTGTAAAAGTGTTCCTATTTCTCCACATCCTCTCCAGCATCTGTTGTTTCCTGACATTTTAATGATCACCATTCTAACTAGTGTGGGATGGTATCTCATTGAGGTTTTGATTTGCATTTCTCTGATGGCCAGTGATGATGAGCATTTTTTCATGTGTCTGTTGGCTGCATAAATGTCTTCTTTTGAGAAGTGTCTGTTCATATCCTTTGCCCACTTTTTGATGGGGTTGTTTGCTTTTTTCTTGTAAATTTGAGTTCTTTGTAGATTCTGGATATTAGCCGTTTGTCAGATGAGTAGATTGCAAAAATTTTGTCCCATTCTGTAGGTTGCCTGTTCACTCTGATTTTAGTTTCTTTTGCTGTGCAGAAGCTCTTTAGTTTAATTAGATCCCATTTGTCAATTTTGGCTTTTGAAAATGGCCATACTGCCCAAGGTAATTTATAGATTCAATGCCATCCCCATCAAGCTACCAATGACTTTCTTCACAGAATTGGAAAAAACTGCTTTAAAGTTCATATGGAACCAAAAAAGAGCCCACATTGCCAAGTCAATCCTAAGCCAAAAGAACAAAGCTGGAGGCATCACACTACCTGACTTCAAAGTATACTACAAGGCTACAGTAACCAAAACAGCATGGTACTGATACCAAAACAGAGATATAGACCAATGGAAGAGAACAGAGCCCTCAGAAATAATACCACACATCTACAACTATCTGATCTTTGACAAACCTGACAAAAACAAGCAATGGGGAAAGGATTCCCTATTTAATAGATGGTGCTGGGAAAACTGGCTAGCCATATGTAGAAAGCTGAAACTGGATCCCTTCCTTACACCTTATACAAAAATTAATTCAAGATGGATTAAAGACTTAAATATTAGACCTAAAACCATAAAAGCCCTAGAAGAAACCCTAGGTAATACCATTCAGGACATAGGCATGGGCAAGAACTTCATGTCTAAAACACCAAAAGCAATGGCAACAAAAGGCCACACTTCATAAACTCTCTTATTGTTAAGTGTGGCCACATTGTTAATTTTTGGCTAATAGGATGAAAAGAGAAGTGCCATGCACCAGCTTCAAATTTCTTCAAAAGACAGCTGATATGGGGGTTTTCCTCGTTGAATTTGTTCTTTCCTCACTCCTGCTGCCTTTATACAGATGTGATGACAAGTGCTAAAGTCTTAATATATCCCATAGAGAAAACTGAGGGAGTTCAGGTGTATCAGTGATGGAGTGAAAGGGTCTTGGGGTCTCCATGAGGAAGAGTTGCCATACTAGCGCTGGTATGCATACCTTCAGACTTTATGTGAAATAGAAATATACTCTTATCATCTCTCATTTATGATGCTCTTAATTTGGTCCTCCCAGTAAAATCTAATCCCACTAGATACTGTGACATTTCCATGGGAATAAAGATATTCAGGGCAGTGCTACTCAAAGTATGGTCTGCTATGAATTATTTGTTATAGGTCTTTGATAGGCTAAGTACAGAAATAGGCAATAAACATTTAGAAACTTTTTGAGGACTTGACAATGACGTATTTTTATTGTTTTTCTTTTTTAAGTAGTAATATGTAATTGTTTGGATTTTTAAGGTATCTTTATCACAGATAATTTGAGACTGCTTAGGTGATATGTATTGTTTATCTTTTATTTTTCCATTCATAAATAAAAGTTGCATGGATGGATTGCGGGCTTTATCTAGAAAAACTAAAATGCCTAAACAGATATGGAAAGTCATTCTTTGTCTGCTCTGTTTCTATTGATCCTGAAAAACTATCATGGAACTCACTTCAGCTATTTTTAAAATTATATTTCTTGCATTAAACATTCTAAAAACCTAATATGAAACTCTTATATGATATTCTAGAGACTGTAATAGAGATGACGACAGGTTCTTTGCTGAAATATTGGTCCTGGGATTTCCCCAAGTTGGTGACATGAGTATATAGTGATAGGTCCAACTATGGAAAAGTATCTACCACAGAACAGGTCAACTTTGGCCAAGAAAACAAGTCAATATTAGTTGCAGTTCTTAAATAACCTGGAGGGAGGGAGGGTGAGGAGGAAAGGGTAAAAGGGAGAGAGAGAGAGAAAGAAGAGGGACGGAAAGTTGTTATGCTTCCTATAGCTCCTTTACATGTGTGGTAGTAGTGGGATTTTATACTGGAATAAGTTTATGGCCCAACAGTCAAGCTACTAAATAATTATATCATACTTTAGAAAAAAGTAAAATGAAACTTGAAGATAATAATTACTACTCTTCTACAAAAATATATATATGTAAAAATATAAATATTTCTCTCCCAAATGGCTTCTATGAAACAAAAAAGAAAAGCAAGCAAGGCATGCTTCACAAACAGAATTTTCTTATTTTGTGTCTTTATAATTTTCCAGGCAATGTGCAATTCATTTCAATTTGTAGCTTTATTTATTGCTCAGTTTTGTTTCTTTCTTATTTGCTATTGAAGATTACTTTATAAAGTCTATCAAATATACAGCTTAATGAGTAGTTTGGCTTCTCTTTTTACTGCTGACCATGAACAATGAAGGAAAAAAAATAAAGAAACAGCTTTATTATTACCTACTGCCACTAAAAGATAAAGCATGGCTTTGTTATTAGGGGGAATTGGATATCTTTTCCAATCAGATATGAAGAGAATATAAATCTTGAGGGTAAACAGCATTTAACTAAGAAAGAAGTGTAGATATAATTAAATTACAATTCTCAAAACAAATAAAACACTAATGCCTTTACTACGAACAAGATAAAAACGTCTTGAAACAGCAGTGATGTATAGCCAAGATATTTTCACAAGGAGTACAATTAAATTACATTTCATTAAAAAGTAGCTAACACTATAATTATTGGATGTGTCTTATACAGAAATGACTAATCGTTTTTATGTATTTACTTCATCCCAGGTACTATATAAAATCATATTAAAGAGTAACAACCCGATTTCACAGATAGGAACTGGCACCTATTTAATACGGCTTTCAAGAATAAACAATTTTATGTTAGAATAAAAACAAAAGAATAAAAATAGAACTAAATAAAAATAAAATAATAATAACAATTACAGCAAACAAGTGCAACGATAACAAAAAGTATTTTAAAAAACTAAAAATGAAAATTGTATTCTTCCTAGTTGTAGATAGATGTTGAGCACTGGGAAAGGTATCATTGGATTTATTTTTTTCTAATTGAAATACAGCTATACTGTTGGCAGTCATTAACTTCAATAAACCTTTCAGGCAACCATGATTTTTTTTTAAAAAAAATTAGAATTCTGAAAGAATAATCAGAGTTTCCTAATAAGAAACATTATGCCACTAAATTGTATTGTAACAAAATGAAAATGTTAACTCACCTTCTAAATACAAAACATCACAATGTGTAACAGAAATTTCAAACTTGTTATCCCCTTTAAAGAGTACCCTTAAAAAACATCAGGATGAAAAAATTAGAAATAAAAACATGAATTTAGAAGATCTATACTATTCGGAAGTGAAAAATTTGGAAAACCTCACTGTATCAAATCTGTAAATATTATGGTTGCTTTCCTATGGACTATTTTTAGAGTTTAAAGCATAAGATCATGCTTAACGCCTTAGTAATTGAAAACAATCATCTTGACTTTTTCTCCTTTGATCTGCATTGCAATAAAAAAGGGATTTGGATAGAAAAATGAAGTCTGTAAAGAAATACATTTAATTTGTATGTTAGTATTCGGTAATTAACAAGTGAATGTTAGAAATCACTTTTCACTGGAAAAATTAAATTTGTTTACATTTTGTGGAAAAACCAAACTGAAATTTTTGGATTAGCTAAAATATTTTAGAGACAATGCCCACTCTTTCAAAAAGAGTAAAGAATCTACCAAGGTCTGTAACCTACATCTTAAAGATAGTATCTGAGTTTTGAGCCTCAAATTATCCTGTGTTCATATATTGGAATAGGAATCGTTTGGTTTTCTGATACTGGCTATAAATGTCATAGTTAATTCTTGTCCTTGGAAATACGTATTATCTACTCTACTTGACCTTTCATTCAAAGAGGTAGTATAAAAAGACAAATAGCTAGACTTCGTTGAGCCTACAAAAAATAGATGAATTGTTTCATACCTGTATGGATGTAACTTTTTGCTTAAGAAATTCTCAAATGTGGCAGCATTCAGTTTTAAGACTTGCTTCTTTTATAATATCATAGCAAAATTATGGCAGGTTAGTTAACATTCACCTAACTCAAATTTCTATTTTGCTACCATTATTTACAAAACAAACAAAACTCAAGCATTGTACCTCATCAGATTAACAGAGTAGTTCTCAAGAATCCAATTTATAACTTTTGCTTGTATTTTTGATTCAGGGTTTTAACTAGAAAACAGTAAGATAATTTTGCTGAGTTATAAAGAATATTTAAATGTATAACTGGCCTTACTATATTTATCCTATTTTTTATTTTCCTGCTTCCATCTCAGTGCCAACCAGATGACAGTGGAAAAACCAACCAAAGTCTGCCAAATATTTAAGAGGTATATTTGAGCCAATACTAGTGACCACAGCCCAAGGTTGGAATGAAAGTTTCATAAATGAAAGAAAAAAGCTCTTTGCAACGGAGAGGGTAGCCCAAGTGGGTTGCTGTTTTTACAGTTGAATTCAAAAGCTTTTACAAAAACTCTTCTCACCTCTGTGGCTGTTTGAACAACTTCTCTTACCTGGAAAGCTGTCTGTATGATTCCCTCTTATGTATGTACTTGTGGGTATGTCTCAAGGTAGGCACAATGCACAGCTTCTCTTGTTTGTATAACTGTGGGTTAGCTCTAGGTAAGCCCCCCTCCTCCCTGTGTAAGTTCCCACTGAGCCCACTGTGTATATGGCTGAAAAGGGGAGGAAACTTTTTCCTGGGAGCTCACTAATCACACAAAGAGCAAAAGGCTTCTGTGCTGGACTCTGCCTGCTTATCTGTGCAGGTGCACCTTGAGTTTTCCCCGGGCTGCTCTATTTTTGCCTGTAGCTGTGGTTTTTCAGGCAGGCTACTTCTCTCAGCCTTAACTGTTTACCTAATTGAATTTTCCTTTTCTTTTTCCTCACTTTGAGTTTCCCTATCAATTCAATAACTTGCCATAAATAGTTATTGTTACATTTCTAAAGGCCTTTTGTATTTGATTTTTGTTTTGTTTTGATTTTAAATACTTTTCAAGTGTTTGCTAAGGACTAGTCACTGAACTGTAGGGGCCAGGGGAAACTTTCCCTTCACGCTCTGACAGTTTGCTGAACATCATCTGACAAAGGTCAGATTAATAGGAGAAATGGCATACACATTTATTTGATCATAATTTCAGGTGACATGGAAGCCTTCAGAATGAAGACTCAAAGATACAGGGGAAACTGTCCGTTTTTATGCTTAGGTTAAACAAATTATGAAAAGCCATGGAGAAATATTATTGGAGGACAAGGGTATAATCTAATGCTAAAAGACTGGGTAATGAAACACAACAAGGTCTGTTTGTTTAGATTTTTCTTGGCCTCTGCGTGCCACATTCTTTCCTTCTGGGTGTGGGGCAAGGCCCTCTCTGGAATGGGGTTTTTATGACCTACAATCAAATAAGTTAGGCCAGACTATTTCTCTTCTTTTTTCTCTTTTACTTTCAACTTTTCTTGTTTTTAGAGATGAGGTTTCACTCTGTCAACCAGGCTGGAGCTCAGTGGGCTTAAGGGATTCTCCTACCTCAGCCTGCCAACTATCTGAGACAACAGGCATGCCCCACCATACCTGGCTAATTTTTTAATTTTTTTTTTTTTTTTTTTTTTTTTTTTTTTTTTTTTTTTTTGTGAAAAGGTCTCATTATATTGCCCAGGCTGGTCTTGAACTTCTGAGCTCAAGTAATATTCCTGTCTCTGCCTCCCAACATACTGGGATTACAGACCTGAGCCACCACACCTGATGAGATAATTTATTTACGGCCAATTTTTACATAGAAAGGTGGGGGAAAGTAAAGATCATATTTAATGACTGGCTTTAGAGGAAAGGGGTTCTGATTTCTATGATCTGTCTTGGACAAGAGGGATTCTAGTTACCTTGGTGAGCCCAGCAGGAGAATGAGAGGCCAGACAGGAGGGCAGGAGAAGGTCAGAGAGAGCTGCTTCTGAGGCCTTTATTTGGGGGTGTTGTTTCCTGAAACACTGAAGGGCTAAGCCATTTAAATATTTTTTACAATTAACCCTATCAATGTATTCACAGATGATTTTGACAATTAAACCTCTCAATATAATTATAGTTTAGGAAACTCAGAAACAAATAAGGTTTCTAAAGTTCTATGTCTGGAAAAAGGCAGAACCTAGACACAAGGTTCACATAATAGGGGATGTTGATGTCTTAGGTTTTGGAAAAATTAGCATCACATTACATATTTATATGTTAAAACATGATACTTCTTTTACTGTGGAATCACCTTAGCTTTTCTTTTAGTATATTCTTTGTGTGATCTGAATTCAAATTATAATTTTTAGCTACTAAGAAAAACTCCTGAATATATAAGAAAATGTTTTGTTGAAATGTATTATTGAACTTGCTACAAATGAAAGAAAAATATAAACTGGCCGGTAGTTCATCCAGTAATTACTACTATTTGAATTTTGATCCACAATTTATAGTTCCAAAGAAAATAAAAGTAGGTTAATTGATGCATATATTGTTTCTTTTTCTGAAAGACTTACAGAAAAAAGGTACCCTAAATTTTTCCAAAGATAAGCTACTTAATACAGTTAACATAAATTCAATGACATTAAATGGTTTGCATTTCCTAGGCTGTATTAATCAGAGTTCTCCAGAGAAACAGAACCAGGTTCTGCTTATAGATATATCCAGTTTTCTAAACAGAACATGTGTGTGTGTGTGTGTGTGTGTGTGTGTGTATATATATGTGTGTGTGTATGTATATATGTGTGTGTGTATGTATATATGTGTGTGTGTGTATATATACACACACACACATATATACATACACACACACATATATACATACACACACACATATATATTCCCAGAAGATATTTTGGGAATTTCTTCACTGGCATTTTATATATAATCTCTTTAATATAATCTATATATATATAAATATATATATAATCTATATATCTATATATAATCTCTATCTATATATAATCTATATATCTATATATAGATCTATAGATATCTATATATAGATAATATATAGATAATGATATATATAGAAAATATATAGATAATATATAATGTAATATATATTATATATTATATATATAATCTATATATAATCTATATATAATCTATATATAATATATGATTATATATAATATATATTATATATTATTATATATTATATATATATTATTATATATATATTATTATATATAGAGAGATTATATATATTATATAGAGAGAGATTATATATATATATTTCATTGATTCATATGTATCATATATATGGGAGCTTTGTTTTATGAATTAGCTCACTTAATTATGGAGGCCTAAAATCCCTTGATCAGCCATCTTCAATCTGGAGAGCCAGAGGAATCTGTGGTATAAGTCCCAATCAAAGCCTGAAGGCGCAAGAACCAAGAAAGCCAGTGTTTAAGGTCAAGAGATAATGGATGTCTCAGCTTAAGCAGAGAAAGCAAATTTGCTCTTTCTCTGCCTTTTTGTTCTATTCAAGACCTCAGTGGATTTGATGATGGCCACCTATGTTGGTGAGGGCAATCTCCTTTACTCTTTACTCAGCCTGCAGACTCAAATGCTAATCTCTTTCAGAAACACTGCCACAAACACACTCGGAAATAATGTTTTACTAGCTACCTGAGCATCCTTTGATTCGTTCATGTTTGTACATAAAATTAAACCTCACAGAGCACTTCATTAGAAAACAATTTGGGATTTATTTCTGAGCTTCTGAAGAAAGGAACTAGCAGAAATACCTTCCTCTTACCAAGGGTTAGTGGTGGTAGGCTTGCAGAGGAGAGGGGGAAGTTGCTTAGAGAAAAATATATGTAATTGCTTTTTATTTCTTTCTCCAACCTACCTCAGATGTCTCCTCCAAGCCTTTCTATTCTTATAAATGAGACTTTCCTTAGTAAATTTGTCTTTATCTCCCAAAGTAATTTGATGTTCCCTCATCAACCTCTTTTATATCTGGCACTTAAATCCATCATAGAACTTACACAAGCTACAGAAATTCTTACCTACATATGTTTTCCTTCTCACTGTTAACCTTGATGTAAAGAATGATGTATTTAAGACGATGCCTTCAACACTGATTTGGATTCCTGGCATTACAGAAGGAATTCAATAAATATTTGCCAGATAAATATGTTGCATTATGAATATATTATATTTATCTTTATTCTGTAAATAATACAGAATTAGTTATTCATTTTAATATGGCTCTGTAATTTCTACATGCTTATCCAATTTCAAAGCCAATTTTTTCCTGAAAATTTCTGAATTGTTATGATAGATATTCTGTTTAAATTAATAGCATAATATATGAATAGTAGCATTAGACTAATGAAGTTTTTCTATTACTAATATCTTTTATAGCCAGAGATACAATTAATTCAGACTGTAAATGTACATCTAAGAATGTGAAGCATTTATTAAAGACATGTAGTTATATAAGCTAAACTGCTAAACAGGAAACACATAGGAAATTAAAGACTAACCACCAAAACAGAAACATTTTGTTGACCTCTAAATCTACTCATCTGTTTCTATGCTTCCTCATAATACTTATGGGCTGTTAACTTCCTAGGTTTTAGAAAAATTAACATCATATCACATATTTAGATGTTAAAATATGACACCTCTTTGACTCTGAAATCACCTTAGCTTTTCTTTTACTACATTATTTGGCATTGTTTTGTTAGGTCAATTCAACAGTCATGGTTTTCGTCTCCATGGTTACTTTTGCAAATGTAATTTGGTAAGAAGATCAGAGTAAAAATCAATCAAAGCAGTACTTGGACAGGCAATTTATTCTCCTGAATGTTACACTTCATGGACTGTTTTCTAGAGTCCTTTAGGAACTCAATTTTTTAAACTAACATCAAATTAGCTTTCATGTAATTTCCTTCTTCAAATATTTAAATTAAAAGTGAATTCCTGATGAGGATCTTTTACACGCATTGTCTAAGTATGTCATTAATATAATCTAATTATTACATATCACTTATATCTGGTATTAGAAGTGAGGAAAAGGAAAAGGTTTTCGAACATTTGAAAAAATATAGGTATTCAAACATATTTTTAAAAGAACATCATTTGTATCTGTGTGCATGGAAAGTATGGGATATGACTTGTAAAAATTGTAAACAGTCTAAGCTCAACTTTCTAAATTACAACTAAGCAGAAATTGACATTCAAATTTATGTTTAGCTATCTTATATCTGTCCTAAATTGGGGAACAATGTGATAGAGTAGAAATATACTAGTTTTTGCAAAAATATCAAGTTATAATTAATGTAGCAATTTTATATACAATTAAATATATTATATATTTTACTATAAGTAATCTGGTATCCAAAAATAAGCATAATAGTTTAAGCTAATATGAAGCATTTTTCTCACAATTATATTAGAAAAATAGATTGACAGATATATACCATAAAATTCTGTTTTTAGTTCTACAAAAGGTAGAGTGTATCTCTGAAAAAAAAAACAGTATTTTAAATAGGGAGATAATAATGAATTAATAATACATATAAGAATAATTTACAAATATCAAATATATTTTATATTTTTGAGTGGGTGTGTTATGTGCTTGAGAAAAAAGAGTATTAGTGTTTTTTTCATAGAATAAAAATCAACTTTTAAACTACTTATATCAACAAATAATATTTTTCCTAAGTTTGCAAATATAACTTTGAAAGTCTTAGTGCTTTAATTATAAATCTAGGAAATATAGATAATCTGTTTTAGGGAAACCTTGATTAATATGTGCTTATGTAAATTTAAGTACATTAAAATTCCTTAAAAATTCTCATTTACAGCTTATTTTAACTCCTTGAAACCTTTTAATCTACATTCATAAATACAACTTAATTCATTTTAAGCTTTTGAAGTACTTATCCTAAGACAGAAACTTCAAAACATTAGTCAACTCTAAAACTACAACATATTAAAATTATATATTAAATGGTCAGTTTGTAATATTCAAAATTATTTATAAATGTTGCCATTTTTAACTTTACTGCATACAATTTTAAATTTAAAATTACTTTCTAAATTAGAATTTCAGGTCAATTTTGATTGAACTTCTAACATCACAATCTGTTGATATAACCATTTTAAATATAATCCCTCAGTTTGGTACCAAATTGTTGTCGCTATGAGTTTGATGTACTTCATCATCTATATATCAATCCTAAACCTTTCAGATTTCGAAAACACAAGTTCGTCACTAGGCAGTAAAATAGGTTTACCCCTCTAAGCAAGCTGGGTTTTAATTCTCACATAAACTGAACTTACTATCTCAATAACTGAAGTTGGTGAGAGGCGCTGATTGATAAAAGTTAAGAGATTTGACTGTGAGACCAAACCTACTTCTGTTGTCTCCAGTCTCAGTGGGCTAAAAGAGACAGTAAAACAATGGGTGTAGGAAGAATATAAAATCTACTTTTTCTCACATCTTCCTTTTTAAAAATTGTAGCTTTTTGTAGCTGTAACTTTCTGCTTATCATATATCCCATTTTACCTAGCTAATTACTATTTCTCTGCTGGGGCTTGGGAGAAATCCAAGCAGTCCTCTTCTTCCCCATCTATTTTCAGAACCAATTAAAAAATAAAAAAGGAAAAAGCAGTTGAGAACTAAAACATTAATCTTATTCCTGATGGAGCTGACACTGAGGTGCATAAATTACATGAGAGAGCTAAGCAAGGTTGCCAACTCTTCATTTGATGCTTTCATTGAGAAAACCAGAAACTAAATAGAGTTTGCAGAGAAATAATTACTGAAATTGGTGTTTCACAAAGTTTAATAAGCCACATTAGGGTATCTGTTAAAAAAACAAGATCTCATTTAGTAGCTCTGATTGGGCCCTCAGATACAGCATTTCTAATAAGCTCCTAGGACTTTGGTTAGTAAGGACCTAGTCTGGATGTTAGGAAACTTTCTCTGTAAAGGGCCAGACAGTAAATATTTTTGACTTTGTGGGCCATGGTGGTCTCTTCTGCAATTCTTCAATTCTGCTAGTGTAGCTCAAAAGTAACCACAGCCAATGCAATGTAAAGGAGTTGGAATGACTGTGCTTAAATAATACTTTGCAGGCATAGAAATTTGAGTTTCAAACAATTTTCATATGTCATAAAATATCTTTCTTTTGATATTTTTGTCAACTATTAAAGAGGTGAATACCCATTCTTAGCTCATAGGTAAGATAACATGCACCAGGATTTTACCTGTGCCCCTATATTGCAAACCCCCAACCTAGATTTTTGTCTTACGGTGGCCTTAGTAGAGCCAGATACAGAAAAAGAGCAAATGTCCCAAAGCTTTCATAGAGAAACAACTGGAAAAATAGAGTAATGTCAATTGTAAGAAGAAATACAAATTAAAAATCAGAGGCTTAATTCTCCCTGTTAAGAATAAGAGACAAAATGTTCTGTCCCCTCCGTTTTCTCAGAGTTTTTACTTTTGAAAAATGTCAAATTCTAAGTAATTTTCCTCTCATTGAAATATATAAAAATCCTTTCAAAATCTAAATAGGCCTTTGGTGAGTTTTGTAATGTAAGGATGTCTCTCTCAAAGACCTGTGAGCCGTTCCTTTGAAATGTAAGACATAAGGAAGAGAGCATCCCTAGTTCCCAGTTTCTATGGGAGGTTAGGAGACTAACTTCCCTTAGCACATTGCTTCAAATTGCCAAATTACTGGCTGTCGTAAAGTTTTGAAAAATTTGCTTTTCTTGTGGGTAAAGCTAATTAGCTAACACAGATGGTCACTCCAACTACCAGATAAAGCTAGAATGAATTATGTGTTACAAATGGTGTTATCAAGTCCTCTTGCTTGACTAGATACAGTGGCTAGATTTCTTTCTGGTTTTCGTAGTGTCTTAGTGATTGCCTGTGATGTGCATCCCATTCTAGTTAAATCTCATTCAATAATAGAGTTATCAACTAACTTTGTAGAGAGAATTTCTTGGTTAGGAGATGACTTTGAGAATTAAAATAATAGTCTATGAATTTTATTAATTTGTCTCCTACAAAGATATAACTTTCCCTTATAAATATTCCACTATTACTCTTTGAGATAATTTCAAAAGGCTATGAGATAATTTCAAAAGGCCTAAAATTGTGCCATCTTATGAAGTACAGCTGCTTCATTTGTAAAACTAATATCTTGAGATTAGCCAAATTTTGTATGTATATTTTGCTGTATGTTTCTAGAATTTGATAGGCACGATAATTAGATACTTCACATATACACAGATATTAATTCAAACTACATTCACAGATCATGTACATGGATATAGTTGGAGCATTTTAAATTTATCATTTTATATTAACTTATGGCTTTTGGTAATTGAAAAAATTATTGACAATTCCATATTATCATACTTGGAAAAATATAAAATATCTATATATTCAGAATATATAAAAATAAATTATGAAAATGTATTTTCATTTATTTTATTTATTCAGAACGGATATTGAGTCCTATACGTACCAGGCACTGTGCACAGCACACATTGCCTATACCCAAGAGGCTCACAGATGTAAGAGAAGACAAGCTAATACATGTATGATTACATCACACATCAATAATGTTGGAAAAATCATTTCCAGGATACTATGGAAACACATGTCAGTGGCATCTGGCTTAATTTTGTGGATGTTATGTCTGAATCCTTAAAATGATGTTAATAGAATACATCTTTTGTGTGTTCCTAGTAATGTGAAGAGAGATTTTTCCCTAGACACTCCTGGTCTGGGAAAATACTCTTCTGAAATTCATTTATTATCCCTCTAAATGACAGTAAAATCAAAAAGTTATTGTCAGAGACTTCTTTGGCTTATTGACTTCTGCACCCTTAGGACTAATTCAATGAAAGGAGAAACTTAAATCCAAAATGTCCTTAAAGGCATAAACCCTCTGAAAATTCGCAAAAATTTCAAGGAAGATATGGTAACATCTAGATTGGGCTGGGTTGGTGTGATCTGGGTCTTGCAAAACAATGTTTTTCAGTAGATAGATGATAGGTAGGTAGACAGATAAAATCAGCTTATCCCATATAAATTGATAGAACTTTGAGGTCAAGTAGAAACTTAGCATATATTAAAGAGGCCACATATTGGCATATATTAAAGAGGGAGTGAGTAAATAGCATCAAAGAGACAATGATGCAGGGAGTCTCCACTGAAATGGCAGTGACAGAATCTACCTATAATGCAGTAGGGGTAAGGTCGTAGAAACTAAGGTGGAGAAAAGGGATTAAGGAAGTTCAGAGATCTAAGAAATGTTGCTGTCATTATCTGTAGGATAAAATCCAAAGCAGTCTCCTGAGATAAAACATAGGCATATGAAATTAATTTGTTAATAAAGATGGAATGGTCTTTTTAAAGGTATTTAACACTTAGGGATTAATTTCTTACTGGGAAAGTTTTATAATTTATGTCACAATTAATAAACAATAAGTGTAACTTTCTCAATGTACAATTGCCATCACAGGTTACCTGTCTTGTAATTGAGTAAAGCTTTATCTATTATTTTTGTTAGTAAACTTTATATTTTTACAGTTAGTGAGATTAAATGTTTTATATTTTGGACACTATTATTTTAAAAAGTCTGTTTACATAATTTGCCTACTTATAAATAGATTTTAGTTTTGTTTCCTTTTCAAATTTCAGGGCAAATGTTATCTACTACTGAGTTAAATTTTAAGGGGGCATCACCTTTCTTAAATAAAAACTCCTAAATTTAACAGATAAGGAAATCAAGGCTTGTAGGTTCTTATAAATTTTGCAATTAGGCACTAAGCTTGTATTTAAACTAAGTCTGAATAAGGAGATTAATACGATAATAAATTCAAACCCAAGTAATATGTTCTATTGTCATCTAGCCTCATTATATATAAAGAATCACGACTCTTTTTTTAATAAACGTCTTTTTGTCAGTTTCTTATTTGCCTATTTTTGGAAATTTATATTTTTGTGCAGTACAGTTTGTTGAGTTTTCCTTTGTGATTTCTAAAATACACTTTTCCTTTTCTTATTAGTACAAGTTATGTTCTTATATTCACATTTTAATTCCTTTGGAAGATTTAAGAGTTTATTCCAACAAAACTTACTTTTCTCTCCATATTTGTGATATCACATTGACAGTATACTAAATATATGCATCCTGTTTTCATTGATCCTTTGCATGTAATTTTTATACAGTAATTGCTGATGAATTTGCATAGACCACTTATACTTTTTTGTATCCTTTATTAAAATTTTATTTTTTATTTTATTGTTTAAATGTGCCATAAAAGCTCAGGATAAAAAAATATATTTTTTAAGCTACAAGGATGGTGTACTCTTAAAATTGAAGCTATTTATTTGTCGTTTGAAATCTCATATGTATTTTTAAATCTAGTTAATTTGTCAAAGACATATTGACTCAGCCATTTAGTCTGCACAACTTTCTCAGGATACTATTTTGTGGAATGGAAACACAACTACTAGGAAGGCAGATAGGCTGCCTGTCAAAAGTTTTATATTCCCTGGGCACAATGAAAAGATAAACAAAACCAAAGATTTGTAATAATCATTACAAGGTAGTTGAGTTGTTTTTTCTGTTTTGTATTGTTTAAATGTTCTTATATTAATATTATAATTACATTTGTTTATGAGATAATTTCACTTGATAGCCCAGATTTTTATTTATTGTTTTGTTTTACTTCTGGGGTTGTTCTTGGAAACTATGTATATTTCTCTATGGCTTACGATACAATTTAAGAATTGTTTTCATTAGTAATGTATTCAATTGAGTTTAAATACTAATTATGCATTATTCTCTTTAGACTTCAGAGAATAAGTGCAGAGGAAAAACCAGGGTAGTGAGAATGAAGCAATGAAATTTTCATTAGCATGTTCGAAAAGTATTATGAAGGTTCTGAACATTTTGTGGATGTATCAGTCTGCTGGGCCTGCTGTAACAAAATATCACAGGCTGGGCGGCTTAAACAACAGAAATTTATTTCCCACAGTTCTGGAGGCTGGATATCCAAGATCAAGGTCCTGCAGGGTTGAATTTCTGGTGAGGGTTCTCTTCCTGCCTTGTAGATGTCCACTTTGTCTTCACATGGCCTTTCTTCTTAGTGCATGCCAGCAGAGAGAAAGGAAACAAGCCCTCTGGTGTCTCTTCTAAAAATGACTCTAATTCCATTAGGTTAGGGCCTTTAGTTATGATCTCTTTTAATAAAAATTATGTCCTTATAGTGCCCAGCTCCAAATGCAGCCATGGTGACATTTAAGGCTTCAACATATGAATTTGGAAAGACATGAACATTCAATTCATAACAGTGGTATAGGACCTAAATTTGGGGAGAACTTTCCTAATGATTAAGGCAAAAATAAAATATTATTATTTGCATAATTCACAATAATCCTAAAAATATAACAGTGACTTAGTCAAACTAAAACTATTCCATATACTGTAGCCATTGAACTGTCATTTATGACCACAGCATTTGATACAATGAAGTAATGCTGAAATCAGAATTAGCCAGAAATGCTTTTAGAATACACATTTCAAATTCTCAATTTGTTTTCCAGAGTAATCTCATTAAAAGTATATGCATAGGCTGGGCACGGTGGCTCACGCCTGTAATCTCAGCACTTTAGGAGGCCAAGGCGGGCAGATCATGAGGTCAGGAGATAGAGACCATCCTGGCTAACATGGTGAAACCCCGTCTCTACTAAAAATACAAAAACAAAATTAGCTGGGTGTGGCGGCAGGCGCCTGTAATCCCAGCTACTAGGGAGGCTGAGGCAGGAGAATGGCGTGAACCTGGGAGGCAGAGCTTGCACTGAGCTGAGATCTCACCACTGCACTCCAGCCTGGGTGACAGAGCGAGACTCTGTCTCAAAAAAAAAAAAAAAAAGTATATGCATAGTGCCTGAATTAATTAAATGTTTGTGTTCAAAGTATAATAAAGTCTACCATGGATTGCCTTTAAAAAATTGTCAATTGACTTTTGTAGATGATAGGACTTATTATCTATTATCCATTAATAAGCATTTCAAAATTAAACTGTATTTTTTATATCAAACACAATTCTTAATTTTTGAACTCTGGGTAAATGAAGAGAGGAAGAAGAGTGACTTATAATTATTTACATATATAGTTTTCTTTTGAAACTATCTTTAATGTATTTATAAATAAAATACCTTTTTATTTAGAATACTATCAGAATAGTTAAAACTAGATTTTTTTTTTTTTACATGTATTCATGAAAAACACAGGCACACACACTGGGATCAGAGATTTACTAAGGTGGGAAATCATGTTCACACATATAACTTTATATAAGCTATTAAAAGACAATAGCTTTCACATTCTATATCTATAGTTCTTTATAAAACGTTAATTTAATTACTGGCACATTAATTAAATTAACATCTTGTAGTACTGAAATTTCAGTATTGGCACACCCACTAACTCTTAGTTAACTAAAGTATTTGATTACATATATTTCACATTCCTCACTAACAATGTAAGTTAAACAATACATGAGAGACAGAGAGGGGAATATGATAAATGTCATTATTAATTATATTATGTCAATTTTGATGAAATTCCTTTAAATTTATCAGGAAGTAAAATAGTGAATTCCACACTGATACATCACATTGGTTTTTAAAACATTTACAATTAATGTATTAAAAATGTTGTTAAATTTTAGTTTAGTTTATTTTGTCCTAGAAAAACACTTCATAATGGCTCTGAATTCATTATTCAAACTACTCCTCATAGTCTCCATATGATAAATTTGATATACACAATTACTGCATGCAATATAAGCAGAATTTGGCTAATATAATCTGTATACAAAAAATGATTGAATATAGCAAATTAGTTTGGAGAAATTCTCAGGAAAATAAAACCATTTATAAAAATGTTAATGTTAACTTTTTGAATATGACCACTACAAAATTTTACTGTTTTTTTTTAAACAGACATAGATCAACTTATCTTTTCCTCTATTCTTTAAAATTTGAAAATTAATTTATCCATTTCAGAGTGCTAATATTATCTATATGCTCTGTCTGTTGGAGAAAATATGTGAGTAGAATAGATAGTGTACACTGGGAGGAGAGTGCAAAGGGATGCAAGCCGATGCTGTCAGAACCAACCAGAAGAGGCCAAGATCCTATAAAATATAATGTACTAAAACAAAGGTGCACTTAATTATGGCTACGTGATACCAGTCGGTGTACTGCATATCTGTAATCATAAAAAAATGCAACATATTTTAATTGATATAAATTTACTATTTTTTATCACTGTTAACTAGATGTTTTAATTACAAGTTGAATAGATGAGAAAAGTAGACTCTTTAAAATAAATAGGAATTTTAAGATTTAAATTTTTTAAATGTCTACAATACTAAAACGTTATCAGTACTGTTCTGATCACATGACAGTTTGTAGAATATAATGATATACATAAATTTACTTAGTTGATTGTTTATTCTATAAAATGTTATCTTTTAAATTTCTTTATTTAAAAAATATTTTAAGTTTTTAAATAATGATTTTTAATGCCTGTAATAGTTAAATGACATCAGTACTATTTTGAACACGTTATTGTAGAGTATCAATGGAATGAATAAATTTATTCAGTTGCTTTGTTCATCTTATAAAATGTTATAAAATTTTTATTTCATTTATAATGTTTCCATATTTTCAGGTGAAAACTAAGTTATCACCTTTTATCTAAATTTTAAATTAAAAGAAATGTTTTAATTTCATTTTGAAAAGTTTTTGATAGTTTAGTTTTTTGTTTGTTTTTGATGGATAATTGTTAATAGTTTACACTATTCATTAAATCATATCATTATATTAGCCATCTCTAAAACTATATCTGAGTATAGGGAGAAAAATTTACAAAATAAAGATGGGAAATCAGTAAGGTAAAATTAGATTTTTCACAATTACATTGAGCTTAGGAAAAATATTATGTCATAAATATAGGTCTTAAAATACACAAATCATATACTATATTTAAATTAAGAACTCATGAGTACAATCTTCATTTAGGATGCACCAAGTAATACTAACACACGAGAATGTATGTCCCTTCTATGCTGATTTTGCTGAGGGTTTTAATCATAAAGGGATGCTGAATTGTTTCAAAAGCTTTTTCTGCATCTATTGAGATGATTATGTGATTTTTTGTTTTTAATTCTGTTTATGTGGTGTATCATATTTATTGACTTGCAAATGCAGCAAAAACTATGATAAATAGGTGGGACTTAATTAAACTAAAAAGTTTATGCACAGCTAAAGAAACAAGGAGCGGAGTAAACAGACAACTCACAGAAGGGGAGAAAATCTTCACAATCTATACATCTGACAATGGACTAAAATCCAGAATCTACAAGGAACTCAAACAAATTAGCAAGAAAAAAATGAATGATCCCATCAAAAAATGGGTAAAGGACATGAATAGACAGTCTCAAAAGGACATATACAAATGGCCAACAAACATGAAAAAATGCTCAACATCACTAATGATCAGGGAAATGCAAATCAAAACTACCTTACTCCTGAAAGAATGGCCATAATAAAAAAACTAAAAATGATGATAGAAAAAAAATTAATAAAAACTGATTTTTTGGCCGGGCGCGGTGGCTCACGCCTGTAATCCCAGCACTTTGGGAGGCCGAGGCGGGTGGATCATGAGGTCAGGAGATCGAGACCATCCTGGCTAACAAGGTGAAACCCCGTCTCTACTAAAAATACAAAAAAAATTAGCCGGGTGTGGTGGCGGGCGCCTGTAGTCCCAGCTACTCGGGAGGCTGAGGCAGGAGAATGGCGTGAACCCGGGAAGCGGAGCTTGCAGTGAGCCGAGATTGCGCCACTGCAGTCCGCAGTCCCGCCTGGGCGACAGAGCGAGACTCTGTCTCAAAAAAAAAAAAAAAACAAAAAAAAACCTGATTTTTTATTAATAATAAAAAAATTAAAAAATAATAGATGTTGGCAGGGATACTGTAAAAAGGGAACACTTTTACACTGCTGGTAGGAATTTCAACTAGTACAACTACTATGGAGAACAGTGTGGATATTTCTTAAAGAACTAAAAGTAGAACTACTATTTGATCCGGCAATCTCAGTACTGGGTATTTACTCAGAGGAAAAGAAGTCATTATACAAAAAAGATACTTGCACACATGTTTATAGCAGCACAATTAGCAATTGCAAAAATATGAAACCAGCCCAAATGCTCATCCATCAATTAGTGGATAAAAAATTGTGAGATATATATATATATATATATATATATATATATATATATATATATCATATATAGTATTCCATTGCATGTGTGTGTGTGTATGTATAATGGAATGTGTGTATATATATACACACATACACAATGGAATACTATATATGAGATATATATATATATATATATATATATACACAAACACACATACACACACACAATGGAATACTATTCAGCCATAAAAAGGAATGAAATAATATCATTTGCAGCAATCTGGATGGAATTGGAGACCATTATTATTCTAAAAGTGAAGTAATTCGTTAATGGGAAACCAAATATTGTGTGTTCTCACTCATAAGTGGGAGTTAAGCTATGAGGATACAAAGGCATATGAATGATACAATGGACTTTGGGGACTTGGGAAAAAGGATGGGAGGTGGGTGAGGGATAAAAGACTACAAATTGGGTACAGTGTATACCACTCCGGTGATGAGTGCACCAAAATCTAACAAATCACCACTAAAGAGCTTACCCATTAACCAAACACCACCTGTTCCCCTAAAGCCTAGGAAAATAAAATAGAAGAATAAAAAGAAAGAAATAAATAAAAAACTAAAAAATGGGCAAAGGACTTGAATAGACATTTCTCTAAAGATTATATAAAAATAGCCAGCAAGCAATGATTGGGGAAATGCAAATTAAAATCACAAGGCAATAGCTATCATCTTATGCCCATTATGAAGACTACTTCCAGAAAAGAAAAAAATATGTTGACAAGGATATTCTGCACACAGTTGGTGGGCATGCTAAATGGTGTGGCCCCTATGGAAAACAATATGGTGCTTCCTAAGAAAAAAACCAAAAACAATTTCAATTACCACATGACCCAGCAATTCCACTTTTGTTATATATGGTTAAAAGGATTAAAAGCAGCATCTTGAAGAGATATTTGCACATCAATATTTGTAGCAGCATTATTCACAAAAGAAGTGAAAACAACCAGTGTCCATGCGTAGATGAATGGATTAAAAAATATTGCATACACAGCCAATACAATTTTGCTCAGCCTTAAAACAGGACATTCTGTCATATACTACAACATAGATTAACTTGGAGGCATTATGTGAAGTAAAATATAGTAGTTACAAAAATTACTGTATAATTCCAGTTACATATCGCCTCTACAGTAATCAAATTCGTAGAAACAAAAAGTAGAATGTGGTTGCCAGGGGCTGGAGGGAGAGGAAGAAAGGGACTTGTTGAATGAGTATAGAGGTTCAGTTTTGCAAATCAGTTGGCTGCACAACAATGTGAATATGCTTAACACTACTGAATGTACACTTGGAAATACCTGAAGATTGTAAATTTGATGTTGCACGTTTTTCACCAGAATGTAAAAATAATCATTGATATTACCCTATTATTTTTTAGCTATAATGGCATCATTTTCTGAAATAAACTGTGTCTAATACATTTGACCATGTGTTCATTTTGAGAAAATTCAAATTTCCTAATGTTTCCTTGAGACAAACTGTTTCTTAATATTTTCCTTGGTTGTTAGATTTCAAATATTTTTGGCTACCTAACAATAAAAGTCAATTCCATAGTTTTCATTGTTTTTTTAATAAAAGAAGGTTTTCTTGCCTCTTCTAGCTGCTACAGTAGTCTCAGCACTCTTATTAAGCAATGTGTGTTTTCTGGGCACCAATGATAACTGTCTCAAGTGGGTGAATACAGAAGAAACAATAATTAAAATTACATTTGGTGTCAGCATAGTATTATGTTTTTATGGAGATACATACTTCTTTAAATTTGAAAATCAGACAATATAATTGCCTGTCTCTGCAAGTATATACCTTGTTGACTTTATCCTTACATTCGATTTAAAATTTATTAAAAATACACTGATAAATGCAAATTTTTTGATCATTTATTAATTGTAATTAAAATTTACATGGGCCTATTTATTAAGGACATTGTGTAATGTTTCCACTTTGTTTTAAACAATTACAAACATGTGGCTTAAAATAATGTACAGATCAATGTAACAAGTTTGAAAAATGGGCGATGAGAATATGAAGTCTGCCTTCTTTCTAGCAATAATCATAAACACTCCAACTTAATGGATCATATGTTTTTCTTTTGAAATTCTAAGTTTGTTTAAGAACAAAATTCTAAAGGAGTTCAACATGCAATGGATATATATATCATTCAGAATCACTAGCTTCCATGCTTACACTGAACTCAACATAAGGCAAAAGCCCAATAATTACACTGCATCTTTGGCTCAGTGTGTTAAAAAAGCAAAGCAAAATGGTAAGCCTAGTGAAAACAATCCTTTGTGTTTGCCAGTTTCAGATTGCCAATATGGTTGCAATAAAATTCAACCATTATCTCTGATGAGATATGCAGCTTTGATTAGTAGGACAGTTTGTTTTCTGAATGCAAGATACAAGCATGAATCTGTTTCTCTAATTGTTCTCATAGCTTAGGAAAATGAGGCAGAAGCAGGTTTGTTTGAATAAAGCATAATTCTGCTTCCCGTTATGACCACATATGATTAGAAAAACAGTAAACCAATCAGATACTGTCAGATGAAATATTCTGTCTTCTACTCTTGGCAATCTCTTGGATATTGCCATAGACTATAAAATGATTGAATGAGTTGTGGTCATGAAACTATCCATGTCACAAATATTGGTCTCTCCTTTCAACTGCTCAAGAAAAAACAAGCCTTTGGTAACTCTAGTTATTGTATGCTATAATACAAAACAAATTACCAATAACCATTCCCGAACTAACTAACATATGGCCAGACATTTTTCCTGTATAAGTTTAATGTTTTCTTGTTTCCTACTATTCTGTTTGATCTACTAACTCTTTCAACATCAGTAGGTAACGCTACAGAGATCCTTGTTCTTGAAGAGTTTTCATCTCTGGAAGTTCTCATTCTTGCCATTCAATATAAAAATAACCACTCCAGCAAGTAAAATCTTTCCAAGTAAAATATCAATAAGTCAAGGTTGCTTGATGACTACCACACAGGCACCTGCTCTCCCAATATTCAAGGAAGCCATCTGTTAAAAAAGATGAAACACAACTTAAGACAAGTTTTCATAGAAAAATATAAAACTTATATTTTAAAAGATTATCTACATGAAAATCATAAATAAATGTGCTTGTTTTCCCATTTTAGCCAGAAGTAGTACAGTAAAAATGAAAACACTGAAAATGGCATTTTAAAAAAGCCATGATTTGTATATTGAAAATTTTTAGGCCTACAATTTTTATGGAGTTTTAAAAACAGTAATAAAACATTTAATGATTTTTATTGAAATTAACCTGCTATAGAAAAGTTTCCATCAAAGCTCTATTCTGGAGTTTGCATGGACACATTTGTGATAATATTTCATAGTGATAGCTTGGAGTATATTTTAGATGAAATAGCTATTACACTTACTGCAATGATTTTGAAGTTATTTCCCCAGATATTGTATTGAATTTAATGTGTTATTCATTCACTCTAGACAGAGACATACAATGAAATAAATTCAATATTTTGTCATAAATAGGCCATAATTATAATTGCTATATGCTTATTAAAAATTTTCCATCTTATGACAATCACTGAAATGAGAACTGAGTATTTTTTAATAATGCTGAATATGAAAATAGTTAGAAATATATTAAAAACAATAATTTTTACAGAGTTTGTAATGAAAATTTATTCTTTGGAGACAAGCCAACATTTTGATAATTTGAGCTTTTTGATATCAATAATTTTTATTACAGTTTTCTAAGAATATCAGGGTAGACTAGAAATTACATGATATTATTTCAGAGTGAAAAGAAAGTGTATAAAATGTAAGAAATAAAATAGCTGCAGACAAAGTAGCCTCAAATCACATGCATTATCTTATTGATTGAAAAAGGACATATTCTTATGCTCTAAACATGAAAATTACCTCCATTTTCTACCAGTTATTTTGAATGTATTTATTGTTACCCATCATCCACTGTAGGTTAAAAAAATCCACATGCTATTTATTTTTTATTCTTTTAATGGATTATTTGTAAAAGCTAATTTAATGTAACATCACTTGTCTTCCTCATAGAATTATTGCATAAAATGAGAGTAGGGAAGGAGCATGTGAATATATTCGTGACATATTTGTGTGAAGAATAATTTTTATAGGTCACCACTCTTATCTTCGTAATCACATCTTGTACTGTTATCTCCATGAGAGAGATGAGTGAATACAGTATCAGGAGACAATATGTTAATCCCACAGCATCAATGTATGCAAACCTAAGTTTACCTGACTCCAAAATGCATGTACTTTCCCTGGTCTTTCTTTTATTATCTGATGATTTTCATGGATTGTCTCACATCAGAGTCATTTAAGAAGCATTTACAAAATACAGTCATGCACTGCATAGCTGTATTTTCATCCTTGAGGTTCAGGTCATGGATGAACCACATATACAATGGTGGTCCCATAAGATTATAATGGAGCTGAAAAATTCCATCGTCTGGTAATGTCATAGCCCTCTTAACATGAAAGCACAACGCATTACTCAAATGTCTGTGGTGAAACTGGTGTAAACAAACCTGTTGTACCGCTTTTTTGAAAATGGAAAAAAGCTCATAGAATAAGGATATAAAGAAAAAAAATTATACAGCTGGACAATGTGTTTGTGCTTTAATGTAACTATTACTATAAAAGAGTCAAAAAGTTTTTAAAAATTTAAGAGTTTAAAAAGTAAAAAAAAAAATTACAGTAAGCTAAGGTTAATTTATTATTAAAGAAAGAAAAATATTTTAAAATAAGTTTAGTGTAGCCTAAGTGTAGAGAGTTTTTTAAGTCTGCAGTAGCATATAGTAATGTCCAAGCCCCTCATTTTCACTCATGACTCTGTCACTGACTCACCCAGGGCAATTTCTAGTCCTGCAAGCTTCATTCAGGTTAAATAAAAGAGGTGTGTACCACTTTTTATCTTTTATACCATATTTCTACAGTACCTTTACTATGTTTAGATATGTTCGATACACAAACAAACACCATTCTGTTGCAATTACCTAGAATACTCATTACGGTAACATACTTATATAGCTTTGTAACCTAGGAGCAATAGGTTATATCATACAGCCTCAGTGTGTAGTAGGCCATACCATCTGGGTTGGTCTAAGTATACTTTGTAATACGTGCACAATGATGAAATTGCCTAAGGATGAATTTCTCAGATTGTATTTCATTTTTAAGGAACGCATGACTGTATATGTTCACAAGCCCTATCACTAAATGGAAATGGGATTATATTGGGTAATTGTATTTTTGGCAACTTTCCCAAAGGCTCCCTGATGTCCATTCAATACTCAGTACTGTGTACTGGACTACATATAGAGTGAGTAGCTTAACTTTATATCTTCATCTACATTTATACCTCTATCTCTATAGATGCATGTGTGTATGTGTGCATGTGAAAATGAATCCTTTCTGTTTTTTCAAAAAACAAAATGTGATATTCCCCTTGTGTTTCTTATGTCAGTGAATGACACCCCTCTCCATCCAGTTGTTCAAGATAGAATCCTTGACCCTTCTTTTTACCTTACTCAACTCTAAATCTGAATCAGCAAGCCCTCTAAATATCTCTCCAACAAGTTTAATTCTATCCATTTATTCAGTCTTCCACATAGCTCAGGTTACATAATGTAAACCACATCTATCTCTCAAAACTTAACAATTCTGTTTCTTGCTCAGTGAGACATACCACGTGTTCTTCCTCTGGCTCTTACCAATGATGTTCCTTAAGCCAAAGCACTCCACATATTTTCATCTGGTTAGCTATTACTCATTTGTCAGGCCTCATTCCACATATTTCCTGAAAGAAGATTTCTCTGCCCAGTGCACTTAAGTTCTATCATAGTGCTATTCTCTTACCAAATAATTAATCATGCTATTTTAAACATTTGGTATTTTTCCACATAAGTACATTTTCAATGTTTAAGAAAAGTTTTCCTTCTTTTCTCTTGGTCCAGATTTATTTAATATACATTTTTAAAAATCTGCCTTTGTTCTCCCTCCAGGGGTTGTACCTTTCAGCATGAGTAATATGATAAGCTAAAAAGGTTGGCCACAGAACCAATGAAATAAAAGTAACGCTGAATGTAGATATTTCACCAGGCTTCTCTGTAACAAAATTCTCAATATATCATTATCAATATATCTTATATATCTATTGTCTACAAATAAATGAAATGCATACACAAAAAGTACACTTAGTTGCACAATAGTTCTCAATTTATTTGAGATACATTCATATTACCTCCTACTCCCAGCCAGAAACTATACTAGTCTTTAGAGACAGGTTAATAAATGACACATTGTCTTTGATTCCTTATGACCTGTAGATGAATGCAGCATGATAGTACTATGGCAGTATACCAAGATAATACATTATTAAAGGGCAATTTTACTTAGGCTAGGAGAAATGGAATAAAGTTCTCTTTATGTCTTGAAGCACGTGCATTATTTTTTTCAAATCAAACACAAAAAATAAGCTCGGTGTTCAATGACAAAAGTCAAATTTATTTAAAACATACATAGATACACACGTGTATCTATACATATGGTGTGTGTATGCATTCTCTGTAAAACAAAAGCACAAAACTGTTAATCGATTCCTAATCTATTTCCAACTCAAGCTAAACTGAGTTTTTTTCCAAATATTCACATATTTGGATATTTTAATATAGTTTGCTTATTTAATAATCAGCCATTTGTGGCTGCTAATATTATATGGAATAACCAATTTAGTCCACTTACAGGACATATGGAGTGAAAGTGACAGGAATTTAGCAAATATGGAAAACTTTTCAAGTAGGCTAGAATCCTGAAAATTTTTAAAGGGATTTTGTGTGGGTTGGCTGCTCATCCCTTGAGAGTCTTAAAAATATAAATAATGAGAAGATACAGAAGCAAAATCTTAAAGTAACTTAACAGTTTTAAATTTAATGTTTACTGTATTAAAATAAAGTTGTTATAAAATATTTTAAATGCCACTTTGCTGTTTGTAAAATACTATATGATCCAAAAAAGTATAATAAAATACAGATGAAGGAAAATGATCTTTAGGAGTCTTTTACCTATTACTACCTACTACATATATTGTTTTGATTTCAATTTTAGAGGATGATAAGCATAATGTCTCTTTATTATAAATATGTATTCAGATATTATATTACATCATTTATATAAACATAAACTTCCTTTATTTAATGTTCTTTTAAGTGGAACATTTAAAATACACACCATTTAACTAGTACATTTCCTTAGCAAGTCAGCAATCATTAATTAATGCATGCAGGGTTTGCTTTGGAAACACTAGGGACTCAGAAAGGTACAGTCAAAATATATCCTTCGAAATTTTAGTGCAATAATGTGAAAAGCAATCATTACTTGCTTTTATTTTTTTTTTACATACAGTGCTCTCTGAATAAGAAATGCTTCTTCTCTAGCAATTAAAATGTAGAAAATAACAAGACTTAGATCTCTTGATATTTCCCCTTCTTTTCTCTACTCCTTCTTTTTACTTACTTGGCTAAATGTACCTATTTTTGGTGAAGTCAAGAGTTTTCCTTTAGAGGAGAAGAAATTCATAATGCAGATACCTTAGTCTAGCCATTAGGAATTTGGTTTTGTACTCCGAAGTTAGTCTGACTAAAAAATATTGTTGCTGAATGCATACCATCAAAACTTGCAAAATCAAGGAAATCATGTTTCATTAAAAGTAAATATCTTTAAAACAAATGTACTTTAATCAGGTGTTCAAGTTCTTTAGATAAATTGTAGTCAATTTCTTTGACCAAAATCAGATCCTTCCACCCACTGAGGCAATATGAGGAGATGTGGTTATTATTCTGCTTCAATTAAATAAAGCTTTAGAGCTGCACTGCACTCCTAGATGGAAACTATTTATTTGAACAGTATCTTACTTTTAGATTTCTGGTAAAAGCGAGAAATAATAGAAATATTGAGAGATTTGGAGAAGAATGAAAGTAAAGAGAAATCTAATATGTAAGGACACAAGTCAGAGTGTATCGATTCCCTCCATCATAAGCAAGGCCACAGTAGCTATGCAGCTAAGATGTTTTTCACTGTAATTAGTTTGCCCTGGCCTCATCTTCCCATCACACACACACACCAACACACATCCTCTAGTTATGTGATTACAATGGGAGCTGCTTCATTCTAGCATGATCCTGAGTCTCTAACTACAGTGTGTATGTAAGGCATAATGCCTCACCTAAGATAAACCAGTCATGTTACTCCAACTTCCTGGACAAAATGATTGACAAGGAGTGAGCACTCACTACATGACAGGCTATGCAAAGCCCTTTCCTGTTTATTCTTTTAATTGAACTGGGATTTTTAAAAGGTTAGTTTCTGTTTATGGCTGTGGGGATTACTACTTGGACTTTCCAGCAGCACCACCAGGTGAAAAATTCTCTCTGCAACAGATAAAAATGGACCTAATAAGCAGTAACAAAAATGAATGCCAGGAAGGTTGATTTCTGCAGCCTTTATATTGTTTCTAAAACCAAACATTATAAGTTAAGGTTTTGTGAACCAATATATTACACTTTTATTTTTTGCTTCAGGTAACTCAAATTCAGATTCTGTTTCTTGTTGTGGAAAATGAAAATCTTATTAAGTATGTATGTCACTTTTTAATATACATTTTATTGGTATTTTAGTAATAAAAGTACACAAGAATGTATAATGAACTTTTTACAAAATCAACACAATATTGGATAAAAACAATCATTTTTGGTTTAGGGTAATTAGACTAGATTACTGTTTGTATACCCCTCCTCCACAGAAAGTAAATGAAATAAATTCTTATCCTTGAAGTGAATTATGCTGATGACAATCTTACCTGTGTCCACTCATTAGTTTGTGGGTCATAGGATTCCATAGTGTTGAGGTATGTCTGTCCATCATAGCCACCAACAGCATATAATCTGTCACCAAGGAGACAGACCCCAACAGCATCTCTGGGCATACTCAAAGGAGCCACCATGGTCCAAGTGTCTGTTTTGGGATCATATCTAAAATTCAATGACAATAGTACATAACATATTCTAATCACATTCAACTTTTACTATAAAAATTTTACTTTTTACAAAGCCTGTCATGAAAAAGGAAACTACCTTTTTTTTTCTCTAAAGGCTCAATCATTTGAGCAGGTATTCTAGAATGAACATCCATTATGTCTAGCTTTCTAAACTTTAAGGTATTTTAAAAATGTATTCAGACTCATAGATGAATGCAGATTCATTCAACAAAAATAATGTCATGATGTCTTTCTACAAAAAAGTGTCAGATATATAAATAACTATTATCCACAGTAGAATTAGGGTATTTAAAACACATGTATGCAGACTCCTATGGTAATGAAGCAGAAGAAATAGTTAAAAATCTGGGAGCATTGTGGAATACTCGACAGATGAAGTTTCCTTTAAACCAGTTCTGAAAGTCTAGCCTAAATTTGCTAGGAAAAAAAAGGAAAGATTTGTGCAAAAATAACTGTAGTGTTTTGTTGTTGTTGTTGTTTTGTTTTGTTTTTTGTTTTAATGCATGGTCCGCTTTGAGGAAACAGTTAAGTAGTGTGACTAAGTTCAAGAAAGACTGAGGAAATGGTGTGCCTCAAGACGTAAGTTTTGATTAGCTTATGGGATGTTTGATTCCCTGGGTAGGAAGGTACTTTCAGTTTATTCAATAGAAAAATAGCCTTTGAAACTTGGAGAAATAATTATAACATGAACACAACTGGGTTTAGTGACATTGCTCAGGATTCACAGTGAGGGAAAGACTAGTAATTCAAGAGATCAAAGTCAGAAGACTGAACTTATTGTTATTAAATTTAAACAAAAAATTTATTTTCAAGAAAATTTGATAACCATATACTACATACAAATATTTTATATTTTGAGTAGCAAAACCCTGAAGACTCCTTTAATGAATGTACTCTGAATGAATGAAGAAACCGTACCTTTGCCTTTGGCCCACAATTGCAGGTTCAGATACAAAAACAAAAAGGGTGGTAAGAACCCAGAAGAATGAATATAAAATAAAACTGTGAGAAAGGATTTTCTGACAAACACAGCAAATAAATTCTTAGTTTGTTTTCCTGCTCCAATTTTTTTCACCCATTCAATTTTTAACTCATAGACTCCTAAAACAAATGAAGAAATAAAAATACCTATACTTTGCTGAAAATAAATAAGGTTGTTACAGAAGATCTGGAATTTATATTTCACAGAGAATATTCATATTACCCACAATGTGATGTGAATTTGCACACTGTGGTTGGGGGGTTTGTGCATTGCCAAGATGATGTGTAAAATGAGGCGCTGGTCGAATGCTAGAAAACCAGGATCACCTTGAAACACAGGCTGCCCAGCACATAAAAATTTAATTTTTAGTTGTGTAGTTAATAAACACAAAACATCACAGATAGATGCAGACATACATAGACACACACACCAACACAAGTACACAACCTATGCCATCAAAATCTCCTTTAAAAATATTTAAACCTTTTCCACAAGCATTTTGAAATATGCAAAGATTTTTAAACATCAGAAAATAAAAGATACCACAAGGGAGAAAATAGTTCAATCCAGAATGTGGAATATTTTATAAAGTAACTGACTGAATATTTAATAACCAATAGCAAAAGATAAAGAGTAAATAATTAGGAAGAAGTAACTAAGTTAAATGCGAGTTAGAAATATAACAAAATATAGTGAGTAGGCTTTACTTGGATCCTAATTCAAACAGACCAACTGTTAAAAAATGTTTGAGACATTTTGGAATATCAGTGAGAACCCAAGCATTACCTTTTAATAAGCAATTATTGAAGTTTTTATTAGCAGAATAATAACATTGAGTTACATTAAAAAATAAAGTCATTATTTTTGTTTGTTTCTGGAATAATTCAATAATGTTTTGGGTTGAAAACATGTTCAGAAATTTCTCTACAAAACTTTAGGGAAAAAAGGAAGGACAGAGAGGGCAGAAAAATGGATGAAACAATAAGAACAAATTTGTGATCGTTGTTGAAGCAGGGTAATGATTATAGGGGAGTTAATTGTATCAGTTGCTTTTTGTTTGGCAGAAAATTTTTCTAGTACAAATAACTTTAAAGTGAATAATTTATGTAGAATACAGTCTGGATTTTGTCACCATCCTGTCACACAAGCAGTTTTTCTGAATTCATATTATCCTCATTTAATTATTATTCAGCTTTATAGAATTATGTTAAATATTGTCTGCAAAGCAGACTTTATCATGTTGCAAATATATACTTTTTTATATCATGTTGCAAATATAAGTATATATATATACTTAATAGGTCATGAGAACTGAGAAAACAGCAAACGTTAGTGTGCTAAGCAATAATAAACTAATTTCCAAAGGTTTAAGTTCTTCAAGTGAAACTCAAATGTTGCAGGGGAAATTTTAAGAATACTCATTTGTCCTACATTTTGATACATATTTAAAAAATACTAACCTGCAATCAGAAATATATACATATATATTTTAAATTTTCTAAAAAGTAATTTTACAATTTTAATGCGTTTGTTGGAAAATACAAATCTTTGAATTAGATGTGCCTGTTTTCAGTAGTAGGTAACATATCTGAAATGTGTAATAACTACTTTTTAATTAATATCTGGTAATGCTAATAATATTTAAATTTACATTTTACCAGTAAAACCAAACCAAAACAAAATCTGAGTGACCTGACATAGACACACTCAGATATTTAGGAAGAGAAGAGATCACACAGATTTAAAATCTCCCAGTAGCCATTGTTCTTGTTCTCAAAATGATGACTTTAAATTGATTTTTCTATATTCAGGAACTCAGGGATTCACCTCTCAGCATGGGACATACAAAGTTATTATCCCCAAAATGAAATAAGCAATCTACAGATGTATAAGCATTGTCCAAACATTCACTAATAGTGAACTCTGTCATTTTCAGGTTATGTTTCTGAAAAACTTGAATTCTAAGCAGCCATTTTTTGCCTCTAGTTGCCAGGTTTGTTTGTTTGTTTGTTTGTTTTTTTAATAAGGTGGTGGGTGTGGGGTCTTACTGTATTTAGGCTGTCTGCCTTTCCTGCATCTTACCTTGGCCTTCCTGGTCAGAGTGTGAGCTCCGTATCAGAGACTCTATTAAGGTTTATAGCCCTCAGGCAAAAGAAGTGCCAGTATATAGCGGTTAAAATTAGCTACAAAATGAAAACGTGTTAAAGGCATACGATAGTCACAGAATAAAAGTTAATTTCTCTTTGTAAAACCAAATTGAATTTTTTAAGAAACCATTAATTTTTCAAGCATTAGTGTCATTTTCATACTTTAAGGATAATAATCGGCCTTAACATTTTTGAGGAAAATTGTTTTAAATATAAAAACATTACTTTCTTAACAAATAGAATTGAGAATGTTTCTTTTCCCAAGTTTGTACAGGAGATATTTAGATAGACAGCAATTAAACAATAAAGAAGTGATTTATAGTCCAGTAGGTTTGCCTGTAAAACAAACAAACAAAAACAAATTAAAAACCAAAGACACAAAAAAAGAAATAAATGAAGGTCCATGCTGTGAGAATGGATAGCCTGCTTCAAAAGAATGGCACATAGATTTCAAGTACATTAATCACAAAATCTATATATTAATTAATTTTAAGAAATTAGATGTGAATTGAGCAATCGAGAGTGACAATAGTGTTGGCTAAAAATAAATACTTTTATTTTTTCCTGTAAAGAAAACCAACATTTACCAGGTTTCATGACATTATCAAAAGAAATGTTCCTAGACTTTAAAAACTATTTATATTCTGAAAATATAAAACAATTAATTTCAATACAAATTATTTGTTTATAACTGCATAACGGTAATAATGTTCCTAATAAACATTTTCATTCAGATGTTTTTGTACGTATGCATTTCTAAAGGATATTAGCAATGGGATTTCTGGGTCAAAGAGAGTGTATACTTTGAAGTGTGGTAAATGTTGACAATTGGTATTACAAAGAGGCTGTGTTAATTTACACTCCACTCCTACCATCAGTGTAATGAGCATGTCAGTTGTTCTACATTCTCTCCAACATGCAGTATTATGTGTATTATGTGCTTTTTCATTTTAGACTTTCTGGTGGGTAGGTGATGGTATAATAATGTAATTTTAATTTGCATTTCCCTGACGACTAATGCCATCCAATCATTTTTTTTCCCAGTAGTCATTGCCTATTTGGATATCACCTCTTGAAGAGTTCTTGTTCAAATCTTCTGCCTAGTTTTTCTGTTCTTTTAAAAATGATATCTAGAATTTGCCTATATATTGGAAACAACACTTTTGTTGGTATATGTATTGCAAATAGTTTCCCCACTCTCCAACAACTTTTTACCCTCTAAATGGTATCTTCTGAAGACATTTTACTGTCATATTTTCTTTATAGATGATCCTATGTAGGTCCAGGTTAAGAAGTCTTTCACACCTCATTTTTTTTTTTTTAAGGCGATCTCCTGTGTTGTATTCTAACAGCTTTATTGTTTTATGGGTAATATTTAAATCTAAAATCCAGCGTGAGTTGATATTTAATGTGATATGCAATAGAGGGTAAGACTACAATTTTCCACATGAGATATCCAAATCACCCAGCCACATTTGTCATACTGGTGGCCTTTCCTCACTCCTCTTTGGTTTCTCCTTTGCCATAATCAAGATTCTTTATATGTGTGATTTTGTTTCTGAACACAAATCTATTCCATTTGTCTATTTATTTATAGTGTATTGTTACTACAATGTCTAGTTAAAATAATTTAATAATAAGCCTTTATATATAGTTTTTCAAGGTTGTCTTGGAACTTAGGACCCTTTTCACTTTTATTTAAATTTTAGGATCATATTTCCAATATACACACAACCACAATCAAACTACATGAAACAATTTTAATTTTAAAAAGACTGCATTAAATTTATAAATTTTGTTTGTTTTTTGTTTTTTTTTTTTGGGGGGGGGGTTTTGTTTGTTTGCTTATTTGTTTTTGAGACAAGGCCTCAGTATGTCACCCAGACAGTGGTGCAATCTTGGCTCACCACGACCTCTAGAGATCAAGAGATCTTGAGCACCACAATCTCTGGTGCTCAAGCAAACCTTCCACCTTAACCTCCAGAGTAGCTGGGACTACAGGCATGTGCCACCATGCCTAGCTAATTTTTTATTTTTATTATTATTGTTTTTAAATTTTAGTGAGATGAGATCTCACTATGTCACCCAGTCTGGTCACAAATTCCTGGGCTCAAGTGATCCACCTGACTTGGCTTCCCAAAGAGCTGGAATTAAAGGCATAACCCATCATGCCCAGCCCAATTAATTTTTTTATATTGACTGAGTATATAGCAATCTTATTAATTCAATCTAACAGTTTCTAGTTTGATTCATATGAAATTATTCGATATTTATCACATAATCTTGAATACTGGCATTGTTATTTATTCCTTTCCAATTGTTGGCAATTTGCTTTCTTTTTATGCCTAACACTGGCTAGGTGTTCTGTTAACATGTCTAATAAAAATGGTATTAGCCGTCATTTCTTTCTTCTCATTCTAATGAAAATCACAAAACATTTCAATATTTGACTATGAATATTTTGTAGATTCTCATTATCAAATTAACAACATTAATTTATTTTTCAAGTTTGGTGAGCATTTTTTATAATGACTAGATATTGACTTTTATCATTTTTTCACTTATTCAGATATTCATTTAATTGTCATTGTATTAAGTTACATTTATTACTCTTTTCAATATTAAACCAAATGCGCCTTTATGTGATAAACTCACATTGGATTTATATACATGCTTTATCAAACTGATTCTGTCCTAAGAGAATTCTAAGAATTAAAGTTTTAGGGTAGATCCTAATATATTTGAAATGAGAATATTTTTTTTTCATATTTTAGTTTATAACATATAACTTTCTAAAAAACATATAAATAATGGTAGTGGTATAATGGTTACCCTTAGAGACAATATTTGTTGGTACACATGGTATTTCTACCAAATTTTACAATATTCTGGGTCATAGAGTAAACCTCAAATGATTACAAAACCTTGAAATAGTTTTGAGTTCACTGTTAATTTTAACCCCAAGACAGAGGAGAAAGCAGTCAGCACAATGTTAGAAAAAAATCTCCTCAATATATTCAGGGTGTTTCAGGCTCTTATGCTGATGATGTGCTTAATGTCTATTTTAAATGTGTAGTCTTTTTTGATATACTTATTGATATTCTCCCAACTTTTTAAATCCCCTCCTTAAAAATATAATGGGCATAGAATGATCCAGAAAGGAAGATGGAAAAAATAAATTTCTGCTTCCCTTCTCAATATCTGTTGTTCATTTTCAATGCAAAAAAAATTTTAAAGTTAATTTGATTTCAACTTCTGTATAATGATGAATGGAAAGTTCTATTTTGACTTACGTCATATTTTATTACATCAATTTTTCAAGGTTGAGGAGAGGAGAAATGAGTTGTTGACAGAACAAAAAGAAAACAAGAAAAAGCTAAACAGCTCTTTGACTCCTTTCAGATGCAGTTGTCACAATAAACCTTTAAAAATTATCTTAACTACTGTCAGTCAGCAGAACATGGATTATACCCAGGAAATCTGAATGCCAGTTTAAACAAACTTTAAAAATTGGATACGCTTAACAGTTCAAAACTAAAGAACAATAGATTATTTATATAATCACTTCCTCTACTAATATGACAGAAAACCATAATTAGCACTATAAATCCAAATTATTTTTATTTTATTTTATTTTATTTATTTATTTATATATTTTTTGAGACAGGGTCTCACTCTGTTGCCCAGGCTGGAGTGCAGTGGCAAATGATGGCTCACTGCAGCCTCAACCTCCCCAGGCTCAAGTGATCCTCCCACCTCAGCCTCCCAAGTAGCTGAGGCCCCAGGGATGTGCCACCACACCTCACTAATTTTTGTATTTCTAGTACAGATGGGATTTTGCTCTGTTGTCCAGGATGGTCTTAAACCCCTGAGCTCAAGCAATCCACAGTTCTCAGCCTCCAAAGGTGCCAGTATTACAGGTGTGAGCCACTGCACCCGGCCGATATCCTTCTATCTATATAGAATAATGCTTGTTTCATTTATTCGTGCATATTTGTATTTCCACAGAATCCTTCTTCCTCAAAACATGCAGATAAATTATCATGATGCCAGAAAAATTCTGGGCAGCATATCTAAGGACAGCAGGTTATTCTGTCACCTCCTTTCTCTGTCGCTCCTCATAAGCCATTGAGGGAAATAGCAAATCACATAACTAAATTGGTATAGCTATTGTATCAGCTAACGATTGCTGCATCTACTTAGAAAGCAGGGCTCCTAAATACTTAGGTTAGCATAGAATCCTTGATATGGTTAGGCTTTGTGTCCCCACCCAAATTTCATTTTGAATTGTAATCCCCAGGTGCTGAGGGAGAAACTTGGTGGGGGGTGATTGGATAATGGGGGTGGTTTCCCCCATGCTATTCTTGTGACAGTGAGTGAGTTTCCATGAGATCTGGTGGTTTTATAACTGTTTGGCAAGTTCCTCCTTCGTGCACTCCCTTGCCTGCTGCCATATAAGACATGCCCGCTTCCCCTTCTCCCATGATTGAGGCCTCATCAGCCATGTGGAGCTATGAGTCAATTATACCTCTTTTCTTTATAAATTACCCAGTCTAAGGCAGTTTTATTATTTATTTTTTTTTTTTTGAGACGGAATCTCGCTCTGTTGCCCAGGCTGGAGTGCAGTGGCGCGATCTCGGCTCACTCTAAGGCAGTTCTTTATAGCAATGTGAAAATGGACTAATATAATCCTCATATTAACATGGTCTATCCAAAATTTGAGCATAATTGCTCACCAATAGCAAACATTATGAATGCACAGTAACAGAAAAACAATGACAACAACAAACTAGCTAGTTCTTTGACTCTGCACTCATGCAGCTGACTCCAGCAATAATATATCGAATGAGAAAAGGTTTGGGGGAGGAAGGGGAAGGGAGAAGAAGCACATCACAATAATATATCAAAATTGTTTTGATACTCATTTGTTAATAGTATTTAGATAAGATATAAGGATATACTTTTCAATTAGTATTTGAACAATTGCTTACCTCTTGAGGCCCTATCTATCTCAAAAGTTTCCTCTTAAAATATATGGAAATAATACTCTGCCAAGATGAGGCAAATGCAAATCTGGATTTGCAATACCAAACAAATTTCTACCAAATTTTATGATATTCTGGGTCATAAAGTAAACCTCAAATGATTACATTTGCCTTTCCATGAATCCACCTCAACATCCACCCATCCTTCCGCTCTTACCAATCTATCTATCCATTTATCTTCTATAATTTCTCTATCAATTCATTTGTCTGTATAACAACCTATTTACAGTTTATCTCAAGAAAGTTTTCCTTGTGGAAATATTGAGGTTCATTTTTCTTAGTGTCTGACTGATTCAATACATTCTTGTTATGTGCCTATTCTGTGCCAGAAATTGTACCAAGCACAAGAATATAGAGATGGGTGGAAAGCTATCTTGGGCAGTATCAGCACATGGCACCTAGTTTAGTGAAAAAAAAAATGATGTAGAAAGAGTTTTAATTATAATGTTAATAATTGGTACAGAGAAATAAAACTCAATTTTTCTTTCTGGTCAAATTTGCAATATGAAATGATCCCTCTGGCAACTGTAAGAAGAATGAATTAGAAGATGCAGAAGTGGGTATTACAAAGTCTGGTATAGAAGGTTCCTATTATCTTGACACCCTTCTTTCACCAGCCCTCATTACTGGGATGCAGATGTGAGGGCAAAGGTGGTTCTGATCTATTTTTACTCAGCAGTGGGACTGATGCCTTTGAGCATATTTTCTGATCTGTTGCCTAGATTCCAATTTTGTTTGGTATCTTAAAGATTTACTTATTTATTTGTCTCTTTCTTCTAATACTGTAAGCTCTGTATAGCATAGTGCCAAATACATGAAAAACAATAGTTGCTGACTAAATAGGTAAATGAATGAATGTTCTTTGCCGAATAGATGACATCTTCTGGACCTAATTTCTCCTGAAACTCAATGCACATTTTGGACACTGATTTTTCCACCAAGATGCTCTTACTAGGGTGAGGCTCAGTCAGAAAATTAGTTTTCATCTGTTCCATAAACTATTCTAAAGTCCTCATTCTCATTCAGTCCCTGCCTTCTACCTTCTCTGATTTGAGGTGCCAGTATTATTTGTGCTTAAGACAGCCTGAGTGCAAACAATTTTTGATAAACATTATATAACTGTATTTAACACCACCATTATATAATAGTTTACATTTCTATAGGAAATCCTTGTGATATAATAAAATGTGATCTATCCATCTCTCTACAAAACATAGCATTGCACACTATTCTTGCTATTTCTAATGATGTTTGCCTATGATTATATACTACAGAACATTTTTACAGTCTATGTGCAAAGTGGTTCCACAGAGGCACAGTTGCATATCTTGATTTATTGAGGAGTTACATGTGAAATCATCAATATAGAAAATATGTTATAAAAAGTGCAAAAGTGCTATTAATCTGATGGGTAGTATGAGCTAGGATAAGAATCATGATACTGCTGTGTGCTTCTGCATTACTTAAGCTGCTCATATCCACTGCACTCCTATAACTCAAAATAGCCATGCTTATTTAAATGTAATTTTCCAACATAAATGTATTCCTAGACTGAATTATTTATGCCTCTATTCACAAACAACATTTCAATACATTATAAAGTCGAGTTGGATGAGAATATTTGGATGAAATATCATTTCATTGGCAGCATTTATATAAGATATTCAAGGTAAAAGTAGGAGGCTCATCATATTCATCTCTTCTCTTCGTTTACTCAAGAATTTAGCAGAGAAAATGTAAATGAGTCAGTTGTCAGTCTATTAGCAGCATTTTTAAAATAAATGATTGCACATTTGTGAGTATAAAAGCATAAACCTATTTATTAGGACTCTGGCCACTGTCTTCATTGTGACACCTGTAGTTCCTGATTTCCGTGGACTAGAAAATCTTAAAGTGAAAATGCAGCGAACTTAATGCCTTTCTCAATGTGTATACAGCCATAAAGCTACAGTCCATTTCACAGAGTGGCAATATTGGTAAACATTGTTTCTGTGTTTTATCCAATTTGAACACAGCCTGCTTACCAAAAACCATCTCTTGCCAATGGACTTATCAGTAAAAATAATTACTCATCCTTAGAAAAAAATGTCATAAATGGGAAAGAATATCCTTTTTCTACCATCTATACCACTTACAGGCCTCAATCAGGATACAGACTGTGTTTTCCTAACATAAAAAGGAAAATTTTTCTGCTGTCAGTGCTATCAGCTAAACATCTCGCTTTTCTCCCAGATACAAGTTGGGATACTGCTCTCCCAAAAAGCTTTCTGTGGCCATGTTACTGGTTTATCATTGTAGTACAAATAAAAGAGAATTCTATTACTTGCAGTTGAAATCTTTAAGGATCAGTGAAAAATTTACTACTCTCTGGCTTTTTCCTTTTGACATAGAGACCAGCAATGATCAATATTCTAGGTTTTTTTTTCATTTTGAGTACCAGAGTGGTAATATCATGGATATGTAGCATGAATGAGGAAAAAAAGCATCATGGTATTAAACCACTGAGAGTTTTAAAGTTATTTGTTAGAGTAGAGTTACTTATACCAATTGATAAACCAATTGACCTAAATATTCCCTATCCTCATTTCCCCATGGATCATTATGTATCCTATGTAATAGGAAATATTACCATGATCTTACTAAGGACTCTTCAGTCCTTACTACATACCATATAATAGTTCTAAGTAACGCACAGCCCAAAGAGAACTCAGCGATACCTGTGCCAGAAGTCTCTGCATAGTATTCCTAGGCCTGAAGCCAAGGTGTCATCCCACTCTAGCTTCTATGCACCTGGTCAATTTTAGAAAGAGTTATAAGAGAACCTATGTTTCCTTCTTACACCAGAATTATTAAAAATATAGCTCCAATCAGTCTGTCTTATGTTAAAAATGGTATGTCATAAAAGAACTTGATAATTCACCTTTGAGAGTTTGAAAGGGTAGTAAAACAAACAAGAACAGAAGAATAGAACACAGAAGCAAAATATCCAATATTTTTAAAAGCATTAACAAATATTCACTTTTATAAATCACTCAAAACTTCATTTTAATGTGTGTTTTAAAAGTATATCAAGAAGAAATTTAAAGATTATTTAAGGACTTGTGAAAAAACATTGTGGGGATTTAAATAAATATTAGTTGAAGGGAGGAAGCAAGGAATAAAAGAATAAGAAAATAAAAGAAAGTACGTGTGTGTGTGTGTGTGTGTGTGTGTGAGAGAGAGAGAGAGAGAGAGAGAGAAAGGAGTTAAAAATGTATCTCTAGGTGTTGAATTTACCCTTCCTAAATAATGCAATTTTTCCAATCACTTGAATCAGGCATCAATGTGATTTGCACTGTCTCTTTCGCTGTAACAGTGTCCTTGGGGTCTTACCTTTCTACATAATCCAGTAGCCGGGAACAGTGATTTGAAGCAGGAGCATCATGACCTCCTACTGCATAAAGAAAACCGTCACATGTGGCCACTCCGACACCCCCTCTCCTCTTACACATGGGAGCACACATGTTCCACTTATTTGTATGAGGATCATAATATTCCATTGAACTCAAACAGGAACTTCCATCACGACCTCCAACTGAATACAACCTAAAAACACAATTGGAAAAATGTGATTTAATATCATAGTCTGGATGACAAAATATAGAAAAGGTCCTTTAAAATAAATTTTCACAGTATGAGGCTCAAACGTGTTGGAAATATATTACTTTGCAGGGAGATTTTGTTAAAGATACTCAATAAATGATCATATATACTAGAAATTTCTATTTTTGTATAGAAATTGCAGTATACTAGATGAAATTAAGACAACTATAATTTTAACCTCTATTTCTAGAAACTTGGATAGATTTAAATTGCATACTGCAAAAATAAGTAATATTAGTATATTAGTTTAATAAATATTAAGAAATGGCTATTAAAATACAGAATAAAATATAAGACAGTGAACATAAACAGGAGAAAGGCATTATCCTATTTGTTGATAAGCAAGTGATTTGGCAGTATGTAACACATGCCTGCACCTTGTGTTCCATCCTCACAGTTTAGAACAATAAATAAATGTAATAAACTAAAAGTATTATCTTAACAACAACTTTCTTACTCAGTGCCTATACTATAGCTAAAAACAAGACTTTACAGGAAAAAAGAATGCAACAATGTTAGTATGATTGAAAATTGCTGAAGTTTACTTGATACACTCATCTTGCTATAATTATTTTATTAATGAGAAGTATGATAGAACCCCCCCAAAATAAGTTATGCATCATAAATGGTACTAACATGATTTGAATACAGTTTAATCCTAATAAAATAGTCCTTCCCCATTTAATCATAGTCATGATTTTATCACAGTAAGGCACAGCATTGCATTTATTTACTTATCCATTTGCTCACTACATATTTTTGAATGGTTAGGGTGTGTCACACATTGTTAAAACTTTTATTGATATGTCCATGAACAAAACAGGAAAAAAAATCCATGCACTCAATTCTGCTGAAACAGGGATAGACAGAATATACAAAGTAAACATAAATGTCATTTACTACTGGGGAAGGTTCAAAGTGCAAGGGACATAGAATCCAGAAGCAGGATCAGTAATGCAACTGGTGAGGGTAGAGATTGTGGATACAATTTAAATAAGTAACCAGAAAAGGTCTCACTGAAACCTTTTGCAAAAAAACTTGGAAGAGAGTGGTAGTGATTGGAGGTGAGTTCAGGAATATCTGGGGAAGGAAGATTTGAGGATGACTAAATAGTGAGTGAAAAGTTTCAGAAGCAGGAAGGAAGTCAGTGTGGCTGGGGCAGAGGCTGAGGTGAGAGTGGTGGTTCAAGGTGAATGGCAGCTTACAAGGTGCATGTAGACTTTTCTCCTGAGTACAACAGGAAGCCATAGTGGTTTTTGAATAGAGGGAGAATATGATTAGTTTGTGTTTTAATGAGATTAGATGTGTGAAAGGAAAATAAATCCTGGGACTCCCAAATCACTAAAGCCAAAGGGAAGTCAAGCTGGGAACTCCTTAGTGCAAACCTGCCTCCCATTCTATTCCTAGAAAAGATAGCTACTAAGATATATATATATATATAAAGCTATGTACCTCCCTTACAAGGAATTTCCTTGTGGACAAAGGACAGCAGACAGAACTCAAAGTCATCCCTCTGCTCACGGAGATAAGTGAATATCTGAGTGCCTCCTTTGGAAAGGCTAGTCAGAAACTCAAAAGAATGGAACCACTTGTCTCTTAACCTACCTATGACCTGGAAGCCCCCTCCCCATTTCGATTTGTTCCACCTTTCCGGAAGGAACCAATGTATATCTTACACATATTGATTGATGTCTCGTATCTCCCTAAAATGTATAAAATCAAGCTGTGCCCCAACCACCTTTGGCACACATTGTCAGGTCTCCCGAGGCTGTGTAATGGTCATGAGCCCTTAACTTTGGTAAAATAAACTTCTTAAATTGACTGAGACCTGTCTCAGATATTTTGGGTTCGCAGATGAAATTTTTTCTTTACTATGGACAATATATCCAATATAATATATTTATAAGTAGACTTAAATCTATAATATTCAATTTCTAAATAAATGCATAGGAAGACAGTATTACTTAGCATAAAATCAATCAGGATGTAGATTTACAAATTCATGCTCTAATACCATATAATAACTCTAAAATGTGATATGTAAAATTATTTTAAATCCTGGGAATGTTTTTCTAAAGCTGTTTATGTTTCTCATAATGGCTGCCATAGTAAAATATATCTGATTGCCCAAGTGTTCCCTTGATGCGTGTAATACCTCTTTGCTTGATTACTCACAAGTAGTCTGCTAACTCTCAATCTTGTGGTATGCTAAAATTAACCAATAGGAACATTTTAAAAAACAAGTATTGAACAATTTAGCTTGCAAAAGCACCCAGAAGTGAAATAATCATTCACTTACAAGTTTTTAATCATTCTAAACACCTTATGAAATCTGAACCTCACTTACTTCTGTTTCATTTAAATTGATGATTTAACTCAAAAGAAGTATGGAATAACCCTAAGATATTAAAATGTAACCAAATGTATTTTGCAGGGACTTTACTTATGGGCATCTTTCTGTGAGACACCTAGCACAGCTCTCGTACATAGTTTATAAATAAACATGATATGAACTTCTTATTCTCTATTGTTTTAAAGGAAATGTTTACTTCAAGCTGCTTTATTTATTCATAAACATTACTCTGATAAATTATACTATTGAGTTATTTGAACCAAATATTGTTGATAATTAATAATAAAATAGTTCTAGGCAATAATAGATCATACATTTTCTGTTTCTGAAATTATTTCAAAAATTATATATAAATATATACCTAAATTTACATTAAAAAGCAATGATGACATACAACCTACCAAGACTAAATCATGAAGAAATATGAAATCTGAACAGACCTATATCTATCTAATCTAGTATCAAACTACATATAGGTCTGTTCAGATTTTGGATATTGAATCAGTAGTCAAACTTCCCAACAAAGAAAATTCCAGGAGCAAACAGATATATGAATAAATTCTCAACAGCACTAACCATCAGAGAAATGCAAATCATAACCACAATGAGATATCGCCTCACTCCAGTTGCAAAAGCTATTGCCAAAAAAATTAAAAATAATAAATGCTGATGAGGATGTGAAAAAGGAGAAACTCATACATTGTTTATGGCAATGTAAATTAGGAAAACCATTACGAAAAACCATTACGAAAAACAGTTTTTTGAGGGTAGTCCCTCAAAAAATTACAAGTAGATTCACCATATGATCCAGCAATCTCACTACTTGGTGTATATTCAAAGGAAATGAAACCAGTATATAAGAGAAACAGCTGCACTTCCATGTTTATTGCAGCACTATTCACAATAGCCAAAATACGGAATCAACTAAATGCTCAACAATGGATAAATGGATAATGGAAATGTGCTCCATTTGTTGGAACACAATGGAATACTATTCAGCCATAAAAACAATAAACTCCTAATATTTTCTATAACATGGATGAGCCTGAAGGACATTATATTAAGCAAAATAAGCCAGGCACAGAAAGACAAATACCACATTATCTCACTCACATGTATACTCTAAAAAGAATGTCTCATAGAATTTGAGAGTAAAACAGTGGTTATCAAAGACTGGAGAGAACTAGTGGGGAGGGGTAGATGGAGAGAGGTTGGTCAATGGGTACAATTTTGCAGTTAGGAGAAATAACTTTTGGTACTCTATTGCACATTAGAGTGACTACGACTAACAATAATGCATTGCATAGTTTGAATAGCTAGAAGAGAGGATTTGAATGTTCTCACAACAAAGTAATGATACATGTTTAAGGTGATTAATATACTAATTACCTAATTTGTTCATTAGACAATATATACAAGTATCAAAACATAGCATTATAACCCATGAATATGTAGAATTATTATGTGTCAATAACAAAAAAAGAAAGTAAGCCCAGGACCAGATGACTTCACTGGTACATTCTCACTGTAAACCAAAAATAAAATTCTAAGGCTCCCAATGATATGAATAGACCCCTCCTCTTGGCCAAAGGCACTCTCGAGTTAACCTGAAAATCTCATTCAGGCCATGATAGAAGAGGAGGTTGGACATACCTCATTAAACCCCTCCAGCATTAACATCAACATAGACCTTAAGTCTGATATGAAACATTTACAATCTATTCTCTCTGAATGCTGCTACTTGGAGATTTCATCTACATGATAAAACCTAGGTCTTCACAACCCCTTATCATAACCCAGACATTCCTTTCGGCTGATAATAACTCTTTCAGCCAGTTGCCAGTCAGAATTTTTTTTTTTTTTTTTTCTGAGACGGAGTCTTGCTTTTTTGCCCAGGCTGGAATGCAGTGATCTTGGCTCACTACAACCTCTGCCTCCCGGGTTCAAGTGATTCTCCTGCCTCAGCCTCCCAAGTAGCTGGGACTACAGGTGCCCACCACCACGCCTGGATAATTTTTGTATTTTTAGTAAAAACAGGGTTTCACCATATTGGCCAGGATGGTCCGAACTCCTGATCTTGTGATCCATCTGCCTCGGCCTCCCAAAGTGCTGGGATTACAGTCGTGAGATACCGTGCCTGGCTACGTGTCAGAAAAATTTAAAGCCTATGTATGACCTGGAAGTCCCCAATTTTGCCTTGGAGTAGCCCACCCTTCCAGATTGAACCAATGTAAATTTTGCATGTAATGGTTGATGTATTACGTCTCCATAAAATGTATAAAGCAAGCTGTACCCCTGACCACCTTGGGCACATGTCGTCAGGACCTCCTGAGGGTGTGTTATGAGTGTGTCCTTAACCTTGGCAATATAAACTTTCTAAATTGACTGACACCTGTCTAAGAAATTTTGGGTTCACATCAGAAACACTTAAAGAAGAATTAATACTAATTCTTCTCAAATTCGTTCATATATTGAAGACAGAACACTTCTGAACACACTCTGTGAGGTCAGCATTGCCCTAATACCAAAGCCAGACAAAGACACCACCAAAAACAAACAAACAAACAAAAACTAGAGGCTAACATCCCTATGAATATACATACAAAAATTATCATCATAATACCTGCAAACTGAATCCAAGAGTACATAAACCATGACCAAATAGAATTTATACCTAGGATGCAAGGATAGTTCAACAAAAAATCTTGATTAAAGCCATACATACACCACATGAATAAAGGATAAAAATCACATGATCATCTCAATAGATGCAGAAAATGCATTTCACAAAATCAGCACATTTTCATGATAAAAACTCAACAAGCTTGGATAGGAAGAAATGGCCTCAATAAGAAAATTAATTAAGATGCTATATATTAAACCAAATTTGCCCAGTAAAAAATCTATTATGCAGGAGGAATAAGTGAATTAATAAATATCATGTTTACATCTGCTCTACTTATTTCCCCCAAGCCTCACCAGCGTGATTTGGAGCAACTCAAGTGAATGCTGCACATGTGGTGGGTTTGTTTCACATCCAAGGGATCTCTGAGTTTTGGAAACTCTAATCCTTTAAAGAGGCTGCCAGAAAACCTGTCCAACCTTTGCCCTGAAGGGAGACATTATCTTTATGATTCTGGTCAAGGAACAATTCTCTACTCTCTGACCAAGAGGAAGTCACTATCTTTATCTTCCAACTCTTTGATTTACAAATATCCTGAAAATATGTTATGAAAAACAGTCACCAGTAATTATTGTTTGGAAAATATGGAGTAATGCTAAAATCCCATGGACAATTGTCTGTTAACCCTCATGTCTTGATGTCCCAAAGTGGAGTCCCAGTTACCACAACCATGGTTCAAATAGCAGGATGAAGGAAAATTGGAAGAAGGAGCACCATCCCTCCCTTAAAGAGTCCATCTTTTAGGGTGCACAACTCACTTCTCACATCTCATAGGTCAGAACCAGACACATGGTTATACCTAGTTAGTAAGATGCTGGAAAGTCTTGTCTTTATTTTAGATGGCCATATGCCTCACTAAAAATGTGTGTTTATATTGTCATATAAAAAGGAGTGAATGAGTATTGGTGGACAATTAGCCAAACTCATTCATACTCTATCAGGCTTCACAACCTCATTTACCAGCTATGTGTTATAATAGTAGCAAGTGTCAAGAGGATTTTGCAATAGACATCATCATTTATTAGCAAGTAGAAAGAAAAGCGGTCACCAATGTATTGTTGTAGCTTAGTGAAATCCTGTTCACTGTCCTGTAAGGCATATTAACAAATACCTCCCACAGAAAGGCAGATATAAGAGTAATCTGACAGCAGGATTGACAAGCTTTCTCATGGCATCAGAAGAAAGAGCTAGTGCCATAGCACTAGATCTTTTCTAGCCCTATGTAGCATGGTGCATTCATATTTACTTTATCATAGGTAGCTTTTCATTACATATGCAGGGTTATGTCTACTCATCTCTCAGTCAGCTGAGGTTGTGTCTCCACTAGAAAGTCTTTTCTGATCCCATTTTGTCTTGTTCCCTGAAATTTAGCTTTATTTATAATCTGTATCCTATGTATAGTTATTTACAATTTTTCATACTTTACCAATAAAGGATATTTCAAGGAAAGTGCACAGAAAGCACTCCCATACCATTATGTAAATACTAGAATGTTTTGCTAAGTAGCTTGGGATATTAAATGTAATTTTCACTCACTGTATTTGGTTACCCAGAAAAAGTGTTTAGGCATCCTTTCTGTTGCACAATAAAAGGATTAGAATCCCTCAACTCCAGTGCCTTTGAAGAAACTCTCTAGATCCAGAACTTAGCTTGGTTCTTTGTTTTCTAATTAACGAAGAGCTCTTTCATCTGATGCCATGAGAAAGCCTGTCAATCCTGCTGTCAGATTACTCCTATATCTGCCTTTCCATGGGAAATATTTTAACGTGCTTTACAGGACAGTGAGTGGGATTTCACTAAGCTACAACAATACATTGGTGACTGCTTTTCTTTCTAGTTGCTAAGAAATGATGGTGTCTATTGCAAACTCCTCTTGTCACTTGCTACTATTATAACACACAGCTGGTAAATGAGGTTCTGAAGCCTGATAGGGTCTACCTACCTTTATTTATTAAAACATACCCAAATTTATGAAAAGAATCTGACAATTGTAAATATGTGAATTAATTTAGATCAATTCATCATGTATCCAAACTTGGCAGAATTCACCAACCCAAAACTGTCAGTTCAACCTTAATCCCTCCGTGTTTCCTCTGCTCCAACTCTACGCGTTTTATAATCCTGCAAATTATTTGTTATTGTTTTCTAGTTCCTTTTAGTATAATGTAAGCTCTCTGAGGGCAGAATTTATTTATCTTCTTTGATATATCATCATGACCAGTACATGTTTGTGAAATTTTTTAAAAAATGAATGAAGCACTTGTTTTTAATTCTAGAAAAAATAGTGATTTATCTGTGGAAACTTATCAATGAAAAAGCACCTGTTTAAGTTCCACTGAAGCAAGACTTTGACAAATGGCAGGGAAAATTATTAATTATGTGTCTCGGGAACACAAAAGTAGGGAAGAAAGAAAGATTAATTTTAACTGGGTGGATTCAAAAAGGGTTCATAGGAAAGGTACAGATTAAACTATGCTTTGGATGGTAGAAAATATAAATAATCTTATTTTGGTTTTAAGCAAAAGCAGATCTTAATATATTTTAACATTTCTTGACACTATTGTTCTTAAGTACAATAAACTCAGTCCTGTTAATACTGATCTTGCCACACAGATCTTGCACATAGAGAGCTAGACTTGGGTTTGTTTATCAATCTAGAGAGTTTTCAAATGTATTCAAAGACCAAGTGAATATTGAGCAGGAAACTAAGTGGACAGTGAATAGTGGACAGTCACAAGTTAATAAGAAAAAGCAATGAAAGGGGAATCTAGGCAGAAACGAGTAAGTGAAAAGGCAAAGGGGTGTGGACAATCTAGGTAGGTTCAGGGAGCTGGAATGATTTGGTATGGCTGGGACATCAGGTGGTTGTAAGGCAAGTGTCAAGAAAAGAGAATGGAGAAAGAAAGTGAAGTCTAAGCTATTAAAACCACTGTATTCTAGAATGAAGAACCTGGAAATGACCATGCTCAAATATGGCACCAAAATGAGTTGTTGAAATACATTTTAATTCTGAGGCATAATTTATTAAATAATACGTTTCAACAATTGGCATATATCTTAGCCAGTCAACTATTGTGATGAAATTCTACTAATTGTACAGTTTCCTTGAGCAATTAGAAACAACTCTTCAACCAGAGTGAATATTTATAAAATTGAAATGAAAACACATCACTGCTCTTTTTTTTTTTTTAATCTTTGCAATATTTTTACCTCAGCCAAGTTACTATATGATCTCTTTGGGGCCACTCCCTGCCAAACTTAAATTTTGCATTTTATATTCAAGGACTTGATACAAATTTTTCTTTCTTATTGGAATGATTCCCCCCATCACATATCCATTCTGGATATCTAATAAATCAATCAGGTCCCTTAAAAATCATCTCTTTCAGTATGTGAATTAAAATTCTCCTGAGCTGATTAGTAGCCCCAACTGAGATTCAGTAAACAGCAATTTCTTTTTTTTCTTTCTTTTTTAATGTGTGAGTCTAAGATTAATTAAAATGTATACAATTTGGGGTGCCACCTTTGAGAAGAAGAATACCAAAATTTGAATAAAAAATAGAAACAGAGTGTTGGAAGGCACTATGCAAGTGATGGACCTTGAGGCTTAAGGCACTGTGCTAGGTATTAGGACATAATGGAAAAACAACAGACAATGAATCCTGCTTTCGTAATGCTTTAAGCCATATGTGCTTCAGACTGAACAGAAATTACAACTGCCTTGTAAAAATTGTTTGTTTGTTTGTTTGTTTGTTTGTTTGAGACAGAGTCTCTGTCTCCCAGGCTGGAGTGTGCAGTGGCGCAATCTCAGCTCACTGCAGCCTCCGCTTCCCAGGTTCCAGAATTATTAGCATGAAGCTTTGCACACCTGTAATTCTAGCATTTTGGGAGGCCAAGGTGGGCAGATCACCTGAGGTCAGGAGTTGGAGACCAACCTGGCCAACATGGTGAAACCCCGTCTCTACTAAAAATGCCAAAAAAAAAAAAGCAAAGTGTGGTGACGTATGCCTGTAATCCCAGCTACTTGGGAGGCTGAGGCAGAATAATTGCTTGAACCTGGGAAGCAGAGGTTGTAGTGAGCTGAGATTGTGCCACTACACTCCAGCTTGGGTGACAGAGCGAGACTCCATCTCAAAAAAAAAATTATTAACATGAAGATTTGAATGAATGAATGAATGAATCCATTTTCCCATAGTAAATCATGAAAGAAACTCTGTTTTTATACATTTTGCAGATTCTTAAGGGGGTGGTACTACATATTTATTAAAATTCAAGCCTACTTATAAGATGTGTTCAGGCAGAATCAGTATCTGTTTGTGAGCTAAGAAAATTTTTTAAAAATCACAAAAAGACATCTTAGCTAGAATGTAAAGTGCAAAAGAACCAAGCCAAGACAGCTACCAAAGAAGAAACAAAAATAACCACTAATGTCTGTCTATATTGTTTGGGGAATCTGAGGTTATATTTGGCCAAGCACCACACATCGACGTTTATTCACTTTTTTTGTGTGTGTTTTCTTTATTCACCAAGTGAGTCTGGCTGTGCTGGCATATATACCCCTTAGCTTAATCTGTCTTACTAGAAGCCTCACTAAATTTGTTATATGAAATTGATGCAATTTTGGTCTTGAATCCGTCAGAACACACTCATTAATTTTAAGCCATAAACCAATTTCTTGGTTTTTTCTTCCACAAGAAATAGTGTCATGAATAACCTAAACTTAAGATAAGTGTTCATTGTTTTTTATTACTCTTAATTGGAAAAAGTGTTGAAAATAATATTTAGGGAAACAACAGCCAGGTTAGAATGACACATTAGTGTTACGTGATAGCAAAACAAGGGGAAAAAATCACGTCAGCAGAGGTGAGGAAAAAAACAAACAAAAAAATGTAAGAGGGTGATGTTAAAACAATTTTCTGCTATGGGTCTGAAGTAAAAGGTCATTTTCTAATGATTATGTTTCTGAGTAACATAGGAAAAGTACCCAGACATTAATAGCCAGTCATCAAACCACAGAATTTTAAAGCCATTAAATCACACCCAGGGAGAAGAAAAAGATGCCAAGTAAAAGCTCTACTAACTCAATTTAAAGGAAAAAAAATCAAGTAAAAAATGGAGCCATTCAAAACATTTTCACAGAATAGAATTAAAATTCATATTTAATTAAAGTGTAAGCAATTTTGGCAATGTAAGAATTAAAAACTTCAAAGAGTATTGATATCACACTCTGATATTTTTTACGAAGAAAGATACTAGAGCAAAACAGGATTTCTTAATATATGATGTATGCTAGCTGACCAAAAAATACAAGTACAGGAAAAGTAATCTGAATAGTGATTTCTATGTATAGTCAATTTAAAAGCGACAGTAGAAGAAACTAGATAGACAATTTAGTCATAACAACATGTAAGAAATTGCCACAAGACTCTGCGTTAAATATTTTCTCCATTTATTTCTGATTAAGATTGGAGAATATTTACAACAAAATACATATTTTAAGGTTATTCAAAGTAAAGTCATAAAGAAGGTCACAGAGCTATAATGCAAGCTAATTATCCAAAAAATATGGATAAGTAATGTACTAACACTTTAATGTGTGTGTGTGTGTGTGTGTGTGTGTGTGTTTTCATTACAAAATAATGTAAAAAGTGAATAAGATAATGAAAGGACAGGATACTTCTCACCCATATTAGGCAAATTTGCTGTGTTAATGAGATATCCATTTTAAAAACAATACCAGGAATAAATCTATTGCTGTCAATGTAAATGGTAAGAAAAAGTCACTAAATAACCGACTGTTACTTATAGTGATTAGAAAACATAAAAAGGCAAAAAGTATTATGCTTTCCTCTATTATCCTCTATTAGAATTATAAAAATTTACATCCAAGAGAACATCCATTCCTTTTTTTTTCCTGGATACAGGATCTTGCTCTATCACCCAGGCTATAGAGCAGGTGGCATGATCACAGCTCACTAGCCTCAACTTCCTGATTCAAGTAATCCTCTCACCTCAGCCCCTCAGCCTCTTAAGTAGCTTTAACTACAGGAGCATGCCACCATGCCCAGTTATTTTTAAAATTATTTGTAGAGATGGGGTCTCACTACGTTGCCCAGGCTGGTCTCAAACTGCTGGACTCAAGCAATCCTCTCACCTCGGCCTCCCAAAATGTTGGAATGACAGGGGTGAGCCACTGTGCCTGGACGGAGAACATTCATTCTACTATTATTGTAAGTTTTACTATCCATGAATAGATATACCCACTGGATAGTTTTACTTTTAATATTTAATATTGAAGAATGTTAAATTTTATCATTGACTTCCAAATTAAGTGTCTTTAAAGAAAAATATAGTAATGCTTAAAAAATCATTTTCAAGAGAAAATGTGAATATAAATAGAAAAAGTAGTATTAATAAATGTATATATTTACATGTTACACAAATTGGTGTTAATAAAATGTGTGTATTATTAAATATATACATTTTCTATTGAGTAAAGTGACAATATTAACACAAATGAACATAATTTTTCTATGAATGTCATTAAAAGGCACAACGGAATAAAAATTGTATTTGAGAGGAGTGAGAAGCAGAAGGTAACTACTTCATATAGAAACAATTCCAAGAAATTACTTTTAGAAAATTTGCAGATAGGACTGAAAGTTGGTAACAAAATATTTTAATTCCTTCTAGAAGTCTCAGTATTCCTCAGAAGGTAATGGAAGAACAACCAACCATTTTTTATGCAAGCAGCCCATCACTATAGGCTGTGTATGATTTTAACTCCTTTTCACTTCTACACAGCAGCCTTCCAAAGCAGTGGTGATAGTAGGATTTGGAGTTTTTCTCAGCAACTATAGCCAAAAGAAGTCTAGCAGAAATGGTTACAGATATTTTTTGATATTGAGAGTGATTATAGTGTAAAGTTCAATAGCGAACACTTTATACATTACTGCAGAATAAAGCTTTACCAAATACAAAAAAGAGATTGAATTGACAAGTAGCTATTTGCTTTAGCTTTTTGTGATTCTGGTTCACCTTTTCTTTCTTATCTAATAGCTTTTTAAAAATAATAATGGATATTGACACTAAGGAAACTTCTAGCAAAACATTTGAGAGCAGGATTTTGAGAGCAAATAAATGTACCTTGAAAAAAATTAAGAGACTTAAATATTATGTGACAGGGAAAATCACAAGTAGTAAATAGAAAAACAAAGTAAAACAAAGCATGTAGAAGTTTTTCCATCATATAAAAATATTTTATTTTTTGACCTAAAAACATATACTTTAAAGACTTTAAAGATGATAAAAAGACTTTAAAGATGATAAAGACTTGACAGATACAAGATAACACACTCAAAATAAGGTGGTTATAAAGGTGATTGGAAGGAGGGGAGTCAAATAAAGATATCGTGTAAGAAAAGTTAAAATGCAAAAATTTTAAGTCTGCATCGGAGATACAAACGATCATAAACAAATTGGCATTGATTGAATTCATGTATTTTTTTAACTGGCGAAGGAGACTTATGGCAAAGAAATCAGTCTTAAAACACACATAGAACCATTAACGTAAGTATGTGCTAAAATATATCTCAAATCAGAGAACTAGAATAATGGGAAAAGGAACAATTAAACAAACGAGTCTCAATAGACTAAAAACTTTCCTAAGCAGAAGAAAGACAGAGTTGAGATCGTTAAAATGAATCTCCAAGTAGTAATTTAAAAGAATGAGAAGTAGGCTTCAGATTGTACATCCAGAAACATTTTGATTTTTGAGGAGGAAGTACAAACTTTTTAAGCTGTTGTCTCTCAGGTCTACATCCTCTCCTGTATTTTCTGCTTTTGAAATAAGGGCTAAATCTCTGAAAACCACTTTTCTGCTTTGCCACCTGGTTCCCTGTTAGGATCTGACATCAGTGGGTGGCAGAGACTGAAAGACTAGAGGAGAGTAAAGGGTCTTGGTTTTTTGTTTGTTTGTTTGCTTTTTTTTTTTTCCTGTGAGTGTCACCCCATCCTTTTCTCACCGTAGCAGCCCTGTAGCAAGAGTTGCTCTGTAGCACCAGACACACCTAGTTTGCGGTTTTTCTAAGACACGCCATCGGCTTCATTGAGACTACTCTAAGCCATTGGCGCCAGCAGATTGGCATCTTCTTCTCAGAGCACTGGGTCCCAGGTCTTTCCTTCTGAGACTAGCTCCAGCTAAGCAGTGGCCCAAATAGCAGTTGACTGAATTTCAGTGCACAGGGCCCTTCCCCAAGCTTCTAAATCTTAATCATTTTAACCATGTCTTTTAGTTCTCCACCCCCAGGAGAGGTAGCTATTATTGTGAGTTGATTAAATTACAATATAGTGTTATTTTGTTGATTTTTGGTTAACTAGTAAGTTTTTTTACTTACTCAACAAAACTTTATATTTAATATTAAAATATCTTTGTTTAGAATAACTGATAAATGACTGTTCTGATTTCTGGCTCTTGACTGAATGTTAACTAATATAAACACAGTAAAAACATCTATAAGAATAAAAGTTTGGGTTATACAAACACATATGAAAGATAAAAAAAAAATCACTGAACTTACATATCTCCCCCACTCCCCCAAAAAGATAGAATGTAAGTAAATAATATCTATTGAATTTTAAAAATACAAGGCAGAGATATTAAATTACTTAAGCTAATTTGCAAACAATGTGAGAAGACACAGGAAAGTCCCTTTCAGACATAGAATCTAATAAATTACATAATCAACACGTACTTACTGGAAAGTAATAATAATAAAGTGAGATGCATTCACTTGGAAATGATTAATTTTCAGAATACATGAAGAACTCCATAAATCAAAATGAAAAAGAGAACACACAGAAATAGAAACAGAGAAAATTTTGAAAATAAACTTCAACAGAAGATATACAAATGACTAATACATATATTAAAGATGTTTGATCACATCAGTTCTTAGAGAATGTGATAGCACTAGTCATCAGAATGGATAAAGATAAATAAAAGACAAGTCGGATGTTACCAAGTCAGTAGGGCACATGGAGCATTCAGAATTTAAAAATCTGTTAGTGTGTGGACAAATTAGGAAAACCACTTACAAACACATTTGAGCAGTATCTACTAAAGCTGAGCACAAGAATAAGTAAAGCCTAGTAATTTAAGTTCTAGGTCTACAGCCAGCTAAAATGTGTATGTACATTCACCAAAAGATATACATAAGAATATTCATAACTGCATTATTCTTAATAGTCAAGAAGAGGAAACAACTGAAATATCCAACTACACTCAGTAGTTGAGTGTAGGAGAATGAATAAATTAAATTGTAGTATAATAATTGACAGAGTTTGGATGTGTGTCTCCACCCAAATCTCATATTGGAATGTACAGCCCAGTGCTGGAGGTGGGGCCTGGTGGGGGTAATTGGGTCATGGGGGCAGATTTCTCATGAATGGTTTAGCACTATCCCTCTTGGTACTGTCCTTACAATAATGAGTGAGTGCTCGTGAGATCTGGTTGTTTAAAAGTGTGTAGCACCTCCCACCTGGATCTTTTGCTCCGACTTTCACCATGTGATGTGCCTGCTCCCCCCTGGCCTTCTGCCACCATTGTAAGTTTCCTGAGGCCTCCCTAGAAGCTGTGCAGATGCCATCATCATGCTTCCTACATAGCCTGAAGAAGTGACAGCCAAGTAAAGCTTTTTCTTTATAAATTTCCCAGTTTCGGGTATTTCTTTATAGCAATGTGAGAATGAACTAACACAGTAATAAAGAAAAATAAACTCCAAGAACTATTAATACTATAATTTGTTAAATTCTGAATTTAAAGACGAGTAAGTAGAACTAAGTCAAACGAAAATTATTAAGAAAATAAGAAAGAAAATAAACATAGCCTCCGTGTATGCTTGTTTGACTAAAAATAAAAACAAAACCATATAATGACACTGGCAAATGCTATGACAAGATGAAATTAGTGATAATACTAACAGAGAAAAATAACAAATTAGGACAATCACAATATAGAATGAAGATACAGCAATACTAAATAAATGATTTGTGGCAGTGATGAAATTAGAAGTGATATGTGACTGCCATCTGTTAAACTTTAGAATATCAGTAAAATAGAATATTAAAGGTACTATATATAATAGTGTCCATAAAACTTCTACTGTCATTTCTTTCTCATGCTCAAGAAAATACACTTCTCATGATTAAAGTCAATTATAGCAGATAAATTGTAGAAAGCTTCTTCATGCCATGATGTTATGCTAAAATAAGATTTTATATCATAATGAAGAATGTTGTGAAATCATTTATAAGCAACTTTGATGCAAAGTCATAGCTGGAATATGGAATGCAAAAATTAAAGAATTAATGCAATATGAGCAAGTAGGATTTACTTAGATGTGTAATATGATTTATAGTTAGAGTATTTATGCAAATTACCACATAAACAGATCAAATAAGAAAACAATCATCATCTTGACAAATTCATAAAATGTATGCTAATTTTAGAAAATAAAATTTCCACTATGGAAGCTACAGACAATAAAATACTGCCTTTAACCTTAATCAATATATGTATCTCAAATAACAACTGATATCAGAGACTATAAAGCACTATAAAGGTTTTCAATTAAAATAGGTAGATAAGGACACCTGATATCACTACTATTTAGGTAATCATTCTAAAAATATAAACAACACAATAAAAAGGAAATAAATGTATATTAAGAAAACAGAAAAAGTTTCCTTACTAGTTTATTAAATGTTTATCTTTCTAGAAAATCTATTATAAATTGAATAGTAAATATAACATATGCATTTAGTTAAATGGTTATATATAAATTATCTTTTATAATTTAATTATGTAATTATTAATGTATAAATAGATATAAATAAACACATAATATGTAAAATATTAAAAAATATAAATAAACATGAATAACCTCAGAAAGAAAGAATAACCATGCCAAATTTAAACAGCACTAAAATACAAGGAGAGTAATTTTAAAAGATAAAAGTACAACTATCTTCTCAGAAGAAAATATTAATATTTCAAATTTAGAGATCCCACATCTTTCTCAAATTAATCTGTAAATATTTATTTACAGGGAAAATTCTGAAGGGATGTTTAAGATGACTTTTTAAAATCTGAAAAATGTATACCAAAGTTTAATTTAGAGGATAACTAACTAAAAGAAATTTTGAAAAACAATTATTATAAGAAATATGCCTTACCTTTGCATTAAACAAAATATATAATGTGAATATGTATTCATTGTATATGTGTATCTGTGTGTATGCACATATACAGTGTTAAGTCACTTTTTATGAGCAAATTCAACAAAAACAAAGATAAATAAATGGGACTTAATTAAACTAAAAAAGTTCTGCACAGCAAAAGATACAATCAGCAGAATAAACAGACAACGCACAGAGCGGAAGAAAATATTCCCAATCCATACCTCCAACAAATGACTAATATCCAGAATCTACAAGGAACTCAAACAAATTAGCAAGAAAGAAACAAACAATCCCATTAAAAATTGGGCTAAGGACATGAATAGACAATTCTCAAAAGAACATATACAAATGAGGAACAAACATATGAAAAAATTCTCAACATCACTAATGATCAGGGAAATGCAAATCAAAACCACAATGGATTTAACCACCTTACTCTTGCAAGAATGGTCATAATCCAAAGATTTAAAAAAAACAGATTTTGGCATGGATGTGGTGAAAAGGGAACACCTTTACACTGCTGGTGGGAATGTAAACTAGTACAACTTCTATGGAAAACAGTGTGGAGATTCCTTAAAGAACTAACAGTAGGATTACCATTTGATCCAGCAATCCCACTGCTGGGCCTCTACCCAGAGGAAAGAAGTCATTGTACAAAAAAGATACTTGCACATGCCTGTTTATAGCAGCACAATTTGCAATTGCAAAAATATGGAACCAGCCCAAATGCCTATCAATTAGTGATTGGATAAAGAGATTGTGAGATATATATATGTATATATATATACACACACCATGGAATACTACTCAGCCATAAAAAGAAATGAAATAATGGCATTTGCAGCAACCTGGTTGGAACTGGTGATCATTATTCTAAGAGAATTAACTCAGGAATGGAAAACCAAACATAGTATATTCTCTCGTAAGTGGGAGATAAGCTGTGAGGATACAAAGGCATAAGAATGAGACAATAGGAGGGAGTAGCCAATATGGGAAATAGAAACAGCTCTGCTCTCGGCTCCCAGTGAGAAGGAAAAAATGGCAAGTGAATTCTGCATCTTCAATTGAGGTACCAATTTTCTCTTATTAGGACTGACTAGGTGGTTGGCGCAACCCACGGAAAGTGAGGAAAAGCATGGTGGAGTGAAGGTCCACCAGGAGATGTACAGGGCACTGGGAGCTTCCTTTCCTAGCCAAAGAAGGCAGTGAGGGATTGTGCTACCCCTCCTTGAAAACTATGCTTTTCCCATGGATCCTTGCAATCCACAGATCAGGAGGTCCCCTCATGAGCCCATACCACCAGGGCCTTCAGTCACAAGCACAAAGCTGTGCAGACTCATGGTGGCTGCTCGGGCAGGCAGCTGCTGGAGCAGGCACTGGACACAGGAGTATTTGCATACTTATGCTCTGGAAACTCCCATGAGGCAGGAGATCCGTCCACTCCCGTGGGAAGGAGGCTGATGCCAGGGAGCCAAGTGGCCTCGCTCCCACGGAACCCCACAAGCTAAAACGTAATGGCTTGGAATCTCTGGCGGCCAGCACAGCAGGCTAGAGACTGCCTAAGAAGATGGGTTCCCAGAGAGGGAAGGGCTGCTGCCATCACTGTGGCTCCAGTCAGCTGTTTCCCTCTGCTGCTGGTGCCAGCAAGACTGGGCGGTCTGGACTGGGAGCAAACTTCTCACAGGGGAACACAGTGACTGGGTCAGTTCGTGGCCAGACTGCTTCTTTAAGCAGGACCCTGATCCACTCCTGCTCACTAGAGGGGGCCTCCCCATGGGAATTTCAGCATCCCCAGCCAGGGATTTATGAAGAGAACTCTGATATCCCTGAGAGGAGCCCATAGGAGGAGGGGCAGCTGTAGTATCACGCATCAGTGGTCTCAGTCTTTTCTGGCTGCTGGCTCTGGAGAGTAAGGGCAGCCCAGACGAGGGGGATTTTCCCCAGCACAGCACACCTGCCCCACCAAGCTGCAGTCAGACTGCTTATTTAAGTGGGTCCTTGATCCTGCTCCTCCTGACTGGGTGAGACCTGCAAACAGAAGTCTCCAGACACTTTGTACAGCAGTGTTCAGGCTGGCATCAGGTTGGTGCCCCTCTGAGACAGAGCTCCATGAAGAAGGAGCAAGCTGCCATCTTTGCTAGTCTGCCGCCTCCAATGATGGTATCTCCAGGGGCGGGACGGACCCAGGCAGATAGCATCTGAAGTGGACTCCCACCAAACTGCAGCATCCCTATGGAAAAGGGGCCTGACTGCTAAAAGAAAAACAAACAGAAAGCAACAACGACAACATCAATGAAAAAGACCCCATAAAAACCCCATCCAACAGTCAGCAGCTTCAAAAATCAAAGGCAGATAAATCCATGAAGATGAGAAAGAATCTACACACAAAAATGCTGAAAACTCAAAAAGCCAGAGTGCTTCTTCTTCTCCAAATGATAGCAACATGTCTCCAGCAAGTGCACAGAACTGGGCGGAGGCTGAAATGGACGAATTGAGAGAAGCAGGCTTCAGAAGATGGGTAACAACAAACTTCACTGAGCTAAAGGGTTATGTCCTAACTCATTGCAAAGAAACTAAGAACCATGATAAAACACTACAGGAGCTGTTAACCAGAATAACCAATTTAGAGAGGAACATAAATTACCTGATAGAGCTGAAAGTCAGTCACAACAGAACTTTACAATGCAAACACAAGTATCAGTAGCTGGATAAGCCAAGCAGAAGAAAGAATATCATAACTTGAAGACTATCTTGTTGAAACAAGGCAGGCAGATAAGATTAGAGAAAAAAATAACAAAAAGGAATCAACAAAACCTCTGAGAACTATGAGACTGTGCTTAAAGACCAAACCTACATCTGATAGGGGTACCTGAAAGAGATGGGGAGAACAGAACCAAGTTGGAAAACGCACTTCAGGATATCATCCAGGAGAACTTTTCCAACTTACCAAGACAGGCCAAAATCCAAATTCAGGAAATCCAGAGAACCCCAGTAAGATATTCCACAAGAAGACCAACCCCTAGACACATAATCATCAGATTCGCCAAAGTCGAAATGAAGAAAACAATGCAAAGGGCAGCCAGAGAGAAAGGCCAGGTCACCTGTAAAGGGAAGCCCATCAGACTAATAGCAGACCTCTCAGCAGAAACCCTATAAACCAGAAGAGACTGGGGGTCAGTATTCAACAGTTTTAAAGACAATAATTTCCAACCTAGAATTTCATAGCTAGCTTAACTAAGCTTCATAAGTGAAGGAGAAATAAAATATTTTTCAGACAAGCAAATGCTGAGGGAATTTGTCACCACTAAGCCTGCTTTGCAAGAGCTCCTGAAGGAAGCACTAAATATGAAAAGGACGAATTGTTACCAGCCGCAACGAAAACACACTTAACTATACAGACCAGTGACACTATGAAGCTACTACATAGACAAGTCTGCAAAATAACCAGACAGCATTATGATGTCAGGATCAAATTCACACATAACCATATTAACCTTGAATGTAAATGGGCTAAATGCCCCAATTAAAAGACACAGAATGGCAAGCTGGATAGAGTCAAGATTCATTGGTGTGCTGTATTCAACAGACCTATCTCACATGCAAAGACATACACAGACAAAATAAAAGGATGGAGGAAAATTTATTGAGCAAATGGAAAACAGAAAAAAGCAGGGGTTGCAATCCTAGTTTCTGACAAAATAGACTTTAAATCAACAAAGATCATAAAAGACAAGTCCTTGAAGAGGATTGACATATTGTTTGCATTTGTAAAAGGATTTCTCTGGAAGCCTTCATAAATAAGACTGAAGAGAAAATAATTTAAAAGATCAGACTAGAAGCTGTTGCAGTTTTCTAGACAAGAGGTGATACTAGCTTTGTTTAGATCTGTGGTTCTCATGGGGAAGACAGGGGCTGTATTTTGCCACTTCCCAGGGGATAGTAGACAATATCTGGAGATATTTTTGCGTGTCACAATGAGGTGGTGGGTGAGGGGCATCTAGTGGGTAGAAACCCAGGACACTTCTAAACACTCTGAAATGCACAGGACAGAAGACTTCTTTCAACAAAGACTCATCTAGCCTCAAATATCAATAGTGTTGAGGTTGAGAATTCTTGATTTAGAGGGATAGGAATGAAGATGCTTGGAAAGTAAACTAGTGTAATTATGTAAAGAAAGATATATTGAACACCAAACTTTTAGTAGTTTTTTGAAGGCTACTCAACTATTTATTCAAAAGTGATATAAATATTCCCATGAAATGTATTTGATACTTCTTTAATCATCAATTAATGTGAAGCAATTTTGGGTTCCGTTGTCTATAGAGAGAGCACCAGTCTTTATTTGTCAATTTAAAAATATCAACAGCTTAAAATGTTTTAAAACAATTTTTACCAGCTTATTAAAACTTATTTTTCAAATAATATTTACCCAATAACTTTTTTTCTAAGATTAAAAAATAAGAAAAAAATTTACTTACTTGCCATTCAATGCTGCTACACCAACTGTGCTCCGAGCAATTGACATACTGGCTACAAATGTCCATTGTTGACTCTGTGGATCCCACCTTTCCACTGTATTCAGATAGCTCCAGCCATCATGGCCTCCCACAGCATAAATAGGGCCTTCAAGTACTGTTACACCTAAAATATTAGATAAATGAATGTAGTGCCTATAGTTAATATCATATTGTACATTTAAAAATCTGTTAAGTGGGTAGATCTCATGTTAAGTGTCCCTAACATAATAAAATGAAAAAAAATTAAAAATTGAATAGATTTATTTCACAGTGAGATTTTAAAAATCAAAGCAACAGTACAAAACTATGAATTCATTCAGCATAGACTTCAGTTGTTAAGAAAACTATTACAATCTCATAGAAACTACCTACCATTAATTGAATCATTCCATTAAAGTGAAAACAAAATTGGGAGCCAAAAATAGTATTATGACCTAGATGCTTTATAAAATAATACTAATTCCCATATTTATGACCATATGAAGAAACAGATACTAAGAATCAAAGGTAAGACGTCTTGGGCCTCTACTTTTAAAGAGCATTTCTACACTGCTATTTAAAATACTTTGTTACTTACAACAATGTTACCTTAAAGCAATGTAATATTACCAATCTGAATTTCAGAATAGTATTTTCTGTGCTTTGGTTTCCCAAAAAGGTTAAAATAAACTTATGTAAAGCTTAGAAAATATGACATCTTTCATATTATTAGCTAAAATTACTAAACACAAGCAATTAAATACAATTAATAGAGAGCCATCCATGGGAAGATATATATAACTAGTACTCATTGCTTTTCTAGTAAACTCACATCTTCATAAATAAATTTTCTTAAATGCTCAACAGTTGCTAAATATTTAAATATAATGTAAATATTGATTGATGTGCTCTTTAGCTGTACAGAAATTCTGATGAATATTTCCTAAAAGGGTACAATTTGAAGCCTGATTATAAAGAAGTCTGAAGCATCTGTGAGTTTTACCCTATTACCAAGCTGACAAATTAGACTGCCACAAATTTATGCATATTGATTAAGACATGACTCCTAGATCAAAGAAGAAATACAGTTTATTACTCATAGCAACAGCAATAATCAGAGTACCATCAATTTTTGTTTCTGTTGCTGGTTCCCCACGCCCCAATTCCCATAGGGTGATCCAAAGAAGGTAATCAAAGTGACCTTACTGTTTCCCTTCTCTTGATCAAACTTCAGACAGTTTTGTCCTGTGTCTAGAGCCCTGACTTCATTTTCCTTAGAGCATTTACTTTAGAAAACTTATAACTGTAAATTATTTCTCTGCTTCTTTGAGATGTAAATCTTCGATAAAACCTCTTGCCAGTTTCACAACCCAGGACTATCTTTCTCAAGGACTCGGGAGCTGCAGTTCCTTTGAAATTTAGTCATTAAGATATTCTATCTCCCAGACTCCTGAAAGTATAGGAGCCTAATTTCAGTTGGTACCTTGCTGCAAGCTATAAAACTACTTTTTGAAATAAAGACAGAAGAAAGTTAACCATTCTTTTGAGTAAGGCCAATTAGCAAACACAGATCGCTTATGATCCACCTACCCAATCTAGTTCCCCAAAACTCTACCACCTTTGTTTTAGAAGAGTTGAGTTCAGTCACAGTTTTATCTTCTCTTCCTGATTGCAAGCCTTCAATAAAGTATTTCTTGCCTGTTTACAATTGCCTCATAAAATTTTGCTTTGAGAAGGGTTAATTGAAACCTGTACATGCAGTAGATTGTATTATAGAAAAGAACTATAATTTATAATGGACAATAAAAATGCATACCCATTGCTCGGGAAGGAGATATTATCTTTATGCTTTTAAGCATGACTGCATTTTATTTTGGAGACAAGAACTATCTCTCTGTTCTTAGTCTTTCTGTTAAAATAACCTCCTTTTAAATATATTCCGGAAAAAAGGACACTCAGTAACTTGACTTTAAAGATGTGCAGAAATATGAGAGACCCATGAAGAATTGTCTCCCAAAACTGATGTGAAAATAAAATGACAACTCATTTATTCATTCATTCATTTAACTATTATTCATTGAATGACCTTTATGTGTCAGGAATTATTATTGGCACCGATGACACAGTGATGAATTAGGCAAAGTCTCTGCCCACAGTGAGCTCCTATATCAGTCAATGAATCAACTAAAATGGAATAAGTACATTGTTCCCAATAAGTAAGTATGCTTCACACATATTACACAATTATACAATTATAATTTAATACAAAATAAATGTAGCCAAATAGCATTAAAAATGTTCTACAACACACATTCAACTTAGGGATGTTATTTTACACAACTCTATTCATATGGAGGGATCGTGTTTTGAGTGCAGGCATAGTTAAAATTAAAAACCATAAACTTCAAATCTTGTTCTTTCATTAGGTAGCTTGACATAGGAAATGGGGATTAGAAAGGATAAGTAAATGTGAAGGTTGAGGTTATTTCAAAAGGATATGATATATCTCATAGGCTTTTTAGAGAAGTATAGGTAGATATTCACATGTATCAACAATAATTAACTAGATGGAGACTAAAGTGAAAACATCAGTGAAGTTTTCAAAGAGATCCTGAAATCAACTTTTTACTGAGCACCAATTAGATACAGAGTAGACTTTAGAATACGTTGTGTGCCTTGGGTTGGGTAGAAAATATTTTGATTGATTTATGCTCTTCTGGAGAATATGATATCTATCTGAAAGGACCAGATCACTAGGATAATTTAATAAACTTAATAAATTTGAAGTTTGTTATAAGAGCAATGGAAAATCACTGAGATATTTCATAATAGGTATGTGATTGCTATGACATTTATTCTGGATGTTTTGTAGCAAATTGATTGGAGTCAGGTTAGGTGGCGGTAGGGAGATGATTAGAAGAAAATTTCAGAAATTCAAAAAGTACAAGGTAGTAGATTGAATTAACAGGTTTCAGTTCAAACAGATAAAAGTGAAAATATTTGAAATATACTCACATATATTCTGGGAGTCTTGCTGTTGGAATTTACTAATAGAATGTATAGGGGTATATGAATAGAAAGAACAAATCAGGGCTGGACGTGGTGGCTCACGCCAGTAATCCTGACACTTTGAGAGGCTGAGGTGGGCAAATCACTTGAGGCCAGGAGTTCGAGACCAGCCTGGCCAACAAGGCAAAAATCTCGTCTCTACTAAAAATACAAAAATTAGCTGGGCATGGTGATGCGTGCCTGTAATCCCAGCTACTTGGGAGGCTGAGGCAGGAGAATTGCTTCAACCTGGGAGGCAGAGGTTGCAGTGAGCCAAGATTGTGCCACTACACTCCAGCCTGGGCAACAGAGTGAGATTTTGTCTCAAAAAAAACACCAAAAAACAAAACAAAACAAAAAAACAGAAAAAAAAAAAAAACAGAAGAAAGAATAAATTAGGGATAAATAAATTGGTTAAATAATTGGGTAAATTTTAAGGGTAGAAAAGTTTGAAAATTATTTTTGGGGAAAGCTTGAGAACTCTATTTTGGATATATCATGTTTAAAGGGACTATTACACATTTAAGTGGGGCAAATAAATAGGCAGTTAAATATACATGCCTACAGTTCAAGACAATGTTAGAGGTATATGTAAAAGTGTTGGAGTTATCAGCAATTATATGGCTTTTAAAGTCGTAGTCCTAGATATAATCAGTTAGGAAGATACTATGAAGAGAGAATGTAACAGAGAACATAATCTAGCTTTAAGTAGCTCTAGTATTGGTTACATGAAGAGAAAACAAAGAAAATAGAGAAGAAATGGCCAGATAGGTGAGAGAAAAATCAGAAGCTTTTGGTATTTGTAAAGTAACAGTGGAGAAAGTTTCCAGGAGGATGGGCTTATCATTGGCTTTCATATTTCTGACCAACTGCATATTTCCGTAGGATTTGAAAATAGGTTCTGCACATGGTTTAATCCATTCTGGTTACTACTTAGTGATATATCCTGTAAACATCATCCATATGTGTCTTGTTTTTCTTAATTGCTGAGAGGTTACATGACTTTGTATAAATGTTTCAAAGTATAATATATATATATTACATTAATATACAATATATAAATACATATTAAATTACATTGTATATGTAATGTAAAACATGTAAGTGTTCAGTTTGATGGTATTTTATCACAAGAATATCCCTGTATACCTATATCACTTCCACTCCAAAACCTCTCATGCAACTTCCCGAAAGGTACACCCCCCCCAAAAGCTAACCGTATTTTTTTCAGTTAATTCCTCAAAGAATAAGTTTTTCCTGATTTGAACTTATAAATTAAGTAATATAATTTAAAAAATTATTTAAAGTTGTTATCTGTGACATTTTTAGTCAGAAATTAGGTGAGATGGTAACATTTTTAAATTGCAAATATTATTACAGTGTATGATTATGCCACTTTTATAGCTCCATTCTATTGTTGATGAAAATTTGCATGGTTTCCAGTTCTAATATTTTAAGAATAAAGCTGCAATGTACACTTTCTTGATGTACATATGAGTTCATTTTACCCAGATGTAAAATTTCTGGGTCATAGAATATACTTACATTGAAATTGAGTAAATGCATCTAAAAAGCTTTCCAGGTTTTTTTTTTAACCAATTTTTATTTCCCCCAGTAAAGGAGAGGAACCCCGTTGTCTGATAATCTCTCCACAACTTGTCACTGTGAAACATTTTAATTTTAGTCATCCTGATGAGTGAGTAATGGTATCCCATCATTCTGTTAGTTTTCACCATGCTGATGACTGGTAAAACTAAGCATTTGTTCATGTGTTTTTTGGCCACTTGAATCTCCCTTTTTGTGAAGGCCTGTTAAAAACCTCTTCATTTTTAATTGGATGTCTCTTATTATTAATTATATCATTTTATCAATTTGTAGTAGTTCTTGTAATCAATTTTAAATATGGATATAAATTGTCAATTTTAAAAAGTATACTTATTAATTCTTTGTTAATATTTGCATTACAGATCTTTTTCCACTGTGAGGCTTGCATTTTCACTTTCTTAATCTTGTCTTTTGATGAAAAGGAGTTAAGTTTACTTGATTTAGGAAAAAGATGTTACTGCAGTAGCAGAAAAAATATTTTTTTAAAGCAATAATGTTGGTGGAATTGATATCCACAAATATAAAAATGGACCATGACCAATACACAAAAGTCAATCTAGATGGATCATAGGATTAAATATAAAAATTAAAACAATAAACTTTTCAGAATATAATGGACAAGCATAACTAAAATAGATAAGCATAACAATGACTATTGAGGAAGACAAATATTTCCTGAACAGAACATGAAAAATACTTGTTCTAAATTTTAAAAAATTGTAAACATAAAAATTAATATCCTTTTGGTATTTCATATGAATTTTTAATTTTTTTGCAATTTTCTGAATTTTCCCCCAATATCCTAATGAAATATCAATTGAGATGGTATTGAATACACAAAATTTTTTAGATAATTAATATCTTTACAACATTGTCTCTTCTAATCCAGAACACAGTACATAGCTTCATTTTATTAAGATTTTAACTTCCGGAGTAATGTTTGTTTGAAATTTTTATTAGAACTTTTTTATATATATTACTGAAATGATCACTTTGCATTTGATTTCCCTATGCTATTGCAATTGGCATTTTTAAATTTTCTATTTGTTTCATCAATAAATAAAAAGAAAATAGTTCTTATGTATTGACTATATCCAGTAGCCTTGTGAAATATTTATAAATAATTGTCATAATAATCCACATTTTTTGTATTTTCTATGTATACAATTATGTCATCCCAAAATAATACCAGTTGTATTTCTTTCAATATAATTACTATACATTTTAGTTCTCTATTTTGGCTTACTTCAATGACATTATATGGATACATATTTGGCATTTAAAATTCTTCTTGCTGAATTGATTGTTAAATATTTCCTTTTATTTAGTAATGCTTACTGCTCTAAAGTCTAATTAATTTAATTAGCTACACTAAGAATTATATAAACTCTGATTTATCTAATTAATCAGCTACACTAAGGTTCTTTCGGTTACAATGTGCTAATCTTTGACTTTGGTTATTTAATCTATTTATACTCAATGTAATAACTGATTTTATTTGATACAATTTTAATATTTTCTTACTTGTTTAATCAGTTTTTTTTCTCATTTTCTTTCTCCAGTATTTTTGTTGTTGTTATTGTTCTATGGGTAAAATATTTCATTTTTTTCCTTTTCCCCGTGTGTCACCTTATTGTTGAGAGAACGCAAATGATTGAGTTTGTCAAACAGGTAGTCAGATTATCACATAAGGCTCACACAAATGAGAGACCACAGTCACAATCAAGATTTACTAATAATAGCAAGGAAAAAAGGTATTCTGAAGCATATGAAAAACTGATAGATGTCTAGAACTTTTCTGTCTAGGGAATTCCTTCCTTTCTTTCCAGGGTCTTGATGCATTTGTGTAAGCCTCCATAAAAAGGTTAAACTCTAATTACTGCCTCTGTCATTCAGAGACTGTAGCCAGCCCTAGCTGCCAGATTTCACTTTGATTTTTTGACTGAAGAAAGAAGAAACAAATAAATTTCTCCAGAAATGCATGGAGAAAGTCGAAACAAATGTTGAGTTAATCTTTGTACTCTTTCCATCTCTTTCACATCTTGTTCTCAAGTCCAGGCTTCCTTAGTTTCTCTCTGATGACTTTAAGAATTTGATTTGTTTTATTTAGCTTTTACAGTTATACATATTAGGAAGCTTACTCAGATAGCAGATACTCCATCAGGGCCAGAAGTTAAATTTGTGAGTTAGCTTTTAACTTTATTTTTAATGTAAACATTAGATAATGTAATATAATCTATTGTATTGATTGTCATTGTTTTGGTTTTTGTTTATATGTCAGTAAGAGTTTCCTCCAGTGCTACCATTGATATAGTCAAGTTTCTATTTCTCTCTATATTGTAATTTATTTACTTTAAACTGGGGACAACTAGAATAATTATCTCATGGTATTATGATGAAGATGATAAGAATTAATATGTAAAACACTTAGAACAGAATCGGATTCATTGCAGTCACTCAGTTTTTGCAAACCATTGTAATTGATATTGTTGTCTTCATACTCAAGCCTCAGGGACAATATAAAAAGGAAATTCATGAAAGAGAATATATATAAAGGTCCTATAAGCATATAAAAATGTTCAATAGAATTAGTAAGTAGAACAACCAGGATATTAAAATAAAACATCTTTAGGAGAAAGTTTTAGCCATCAAAAAACTTTAAAGCATGACAATATCAAATGTTGCTAAGAACATTAGGAATTGAGAAGTCTTATATATTGCTGATGAATTGAAACTTAGGAACACAATTATGAAGATAAATTTAACTATTCTTAGTGAAAATATTGTAATCTAGCTTTCATAGAAATATGAAATATTTTATAATTAAAAATATATTACTATACACAGCAAAATATACTAATTAAATACAAGGACTAGCAAATATTTAATATAATAAGCCAAGGAACATTTACATTATCCATTAATCTTTCAACACAGGTATCTATCCTTTGCTCTAAATACTAGAAAGTTTACCATCTCTCTACTGGAGATACAATAGAGCCTATATTCTAGAGGAGAATACAGACAATAAACATATAAATATTGAAAGATTTATATATTACTATCTTTTAATTAACCAAAGTATTGCCAGTGAGACTATCAGAGGTGGCGACAGAGCAAAATGCAAATGAGTTCTGGTTTAGGAGTCTTCTTGGGCCCAAATCCCAATCCACTGTTGCCGCTTGTATCAGTCCGTTTTCATGCTGCTGATAAAGACATACCTGAGACTGGGAAGAAAAAGAGGTTTAATTTGACTTTCAGTTGCACATGGCTGAGGAGGCCTCAGAATCATGGCAGGAGGTGAAAGGCACTTCTTACATGGTGGCAGCAAGAGAAAATTAGGAAAATGCAAAAGCGGAATCCCCTGATAAAACCATCAGATGTCGTGAGACTTATTCACTACCATGAGAACAACATGGGGGAAACCGCCCCCATGATTCAAATTATCTCCCCCTGGGTCCCTCCCATAACATGTGAGAATTATGGGAGTATAATTCAAGATGAGATTTGGGTGGGGTCACAGAGCCAGACCATATCACCACCAGTATGACATCAGAGAACGATATTTAAATGTTTTGTGTCCTAGTATCCTCATCTTTAAAGAGTATATAACTCATAGTATTTGTGTGAAGATTAAATAGAAAATGCAGATAACAGTGCTCGGCAAATGATAAACTTTTAATAAATTTTAGTTGTTAAATAAATCAAATGGTCAGGATGGTCTGTCTTAGGGGTGGTCACTAAATCTAAGAAATTAAGAATTGCAAGCAGAATGATAGAGCAAGTATAAAATATGTCATTACTCTCAAAACTTAAATTCCTCTCTCAAACATCTCTAACTATAATTAAATTAAATTGTTTAGCAAGTAACATGTTCCCAGGATTGTTGTTTATTTTAAATATCTATGTTTTGAAAGTATCCATGTTTTCCTGGAAAATATTCACACTTTATGCTTCCACATTATAAAGGAATATATTTTTGTAGATTGCCACAATATTTCCAAACTCTAGCTGCCTTATTATGTGATTCTCATATTTCTTGCAGCTGTGATGATTTCCTTGCAGAATGGGCTCATTAGGTAGGGTGAATAATTGGACTAGAATAATTTCAAAATCAAAATGATACATTCAACTACTTCCTAATGGTTACTAAAAATATCTTTATAGATGCAGCAAGGTTATGAGTTTAAAAATATTTTTCTGTGTTATGTTCAGTATCAATATTAAAACTGCATTCTAAAAATAATTATCTAATAGAAAGAAAAGAAACATCTAAAGTCATTTTTCATACAACTCAAGCTTAATAATTACATGATGACTTCTGATAATTTTTAAAATGTCTTTTAGATGTTTTATGTTGCCAAAATGTACTTTTTCCAGTACATATAATTATTTATAATTTTTGGACTGTAGCTTTTTGCATATACTCCCCTTGAGAATTCTGCAGCAAAATATTTACCAGAATTTTTCTATAGAAGTTTTTAAGATAGTTTATTGAAAGAAACAAACTATCGTTAATTTTCATGTAACATGGCACATGTTAAAATCAAATATTCCCATATGGGTTATAGAACACATAACTATATCCAATGAAGATGTTGGCCTTCGAATATGGAGAAGGAATTGAAGAAGATAATCTGTCTATACAGATCATTCCCCATAATGCTGTCACATTTTAGCAAAAGGTTGAGCCTCCATAATTTCTCTGAAGCTAATTGTTATTTCTGTATCAATGCAACCAAATTAATTTGTTCTGAAAAAGAAATTATTATTTTTCTTTACACTTGTTAATATTATCCATTCAGAATATTGCTAAATATATTCTAAGCTCTAAACAGTTTCAATAAAAAAGGGTTTTAATTATGCAAAATAATAACAATGAAAAGCTAATTTTTAGTATTGCTTTACTGTTTGCCTGTTAGCCATTAATTGTATCTTAATTTGAAAAGCATTAGCCTGTAAAATGTATTTCCTTTTGTCTAGGTAGAATATATTTATTTTAAATTAATAATAATGTATTTAAATTTATTTTGATTTAATCATTGTATTAAATTACTAAATTATTATTCATCATATTAGTCACAAAATATATCTAAGTCACCAGTGGCTTCATAATATATATATGACCTTCCAGGTATAACTTATTTAAAATCTTCCTTTCAAAATAATTTGTAAAAATCGTCATCGTGTATAAAGTATCACCCAGTAAATATGTAAAATCAGTGATTAGGGTGACTGAATTCCAATGCTCTCAGATAGTTTTACTTCAGAAACAAGAAATAATTTAAGTAATAGTTCATAGAATTGAACACTTCAGTGTTTTTCTGTGCAATGAATTAAACAAAATAACTTGCATATTAAGGAAAGAAATGGATAAGTAAAATTATACATATTTTATATAAATTATAAAAATTTTCCAGTGAGATATTAAATATACATGTATGTGTGTATATATATGCATGTGTATATATATGCATAGTTTTCACAAAAATCACCCCCAAAATATATAAGCATATAATATACAATATATACAAGCACTCTATATAAATTTCTATATCTGTGTAAGTACTATGGAAATATTAACAGATTGACTCATATACTATTTTAAAATGCTGATCATGGGCCTAACACAATGTAGTGTTTTGTATAAACAGTTTTCACATAATTCTACTAAATTATGTAGCATTAAGATTTTTTTGCTTGAGCCATAGAAAAAAATGTAATTTATAGCATTTAGATATAATTTATTTCATTCTTTCTTTGGCTGACAATAGTGATTATCCATCGTGGTTGCACATTGAAATCACCTGGGAACCTTTGAAAAAATACATCTGGAATATGGTGATTCTAATTTAATTGAACTGGGATGAGGTCCAGACACAGAGATGTTTAAAAGTTCCCTGAGATGATTTTTATGTACATTCACAATTGACAATAACTGCCACAGTGAAACATGACAATAGTACTAGTATCATTGCAGAATGTCCCCAACCAATAATGTGCCTACTCTACAAGCCTCTAATATCTTTCATTCATGTCATGTGTGTATGTGTGTGTGTGTGTGTGTGTGTGTGTGTGTGTGTGTATCTGTGTTGGGAGCATGTGGGCATGTGTTATGTGTAGGTGTATGAAATCAAGGCTGTCAGGTAAAGTTTAGCAGTTTGCTAACTTTCAATTTTATTGTTATGCAACTTGCATTTCATGGATTCATTCTTCATCAATCCATATTTCCAATACTTATGATATGCCTTCTATAAGTTCATACCCTCACAGAACGCGTACAGGTGGATATGAAGGGAAAAGACAGGACTTGCTGAAGGACACAAATAGGTGCTACCTTACTACCTGTCCATGTGACAAAAAAAATGGTTCTTGTCCAAGGTGAAAAGTGATGACTGAGCTAATATCTGGGGGAAGATTAAGATTTATGTGGGGATGAGGAATTCTTGGCAGAAGAAACACTCGTGTTGTGATAAGAAGAATTAGAGTATTTCTGAGGAACTGAAAGAAGGCCGATGTGGCAAGAAAACTGGAGAGTCAAGGAAGAGGCAGAATGATGTACAATAAGGCTAAATGGTTAAAAGACCATACAGTGTGGGGCCTTGTATGCCAATATGATTTATTTTATCCTAAGAGTAATGTGAAGTTACTAATATGTTTTAAACAGAGACATGATGTATCTGCCTGTATTTTTCAAAAAATGTCACACTGGCTATGGTGTGGAAAAATGAGAATAGATGTGGCCATGCCAAATAATGTACGTGAGAGGTGATAGTGTCTTGCTTGTCCTGATGTGATGCAAGTTGACATAAGGAAAAATGAAGGACTCAGGAAATATTTGCAAATTAAGAGGATGTATTTCTTTGCTTACACTCCTCCCTCATCTATCCATCAACACAGCCTGTTATTCAAAATTACAACCTGGCAATGTGACCTTGGAATCATTATTTAGCTTCTTGTGCCTCAGTTTCTTATCTGCACAATGGAGTAGCTATAATATCTAACCCATAGTGTTGTTACAAGGATTTAATGAAGCGATATATACAAAGCACTTAGAAAAGTGCTTGGCACATCTTTAACATTATATCAGTATTCAATATGTTGAAGATTATCATAGCAATGTATCAAGAACCTACATCTTCTAACCAAGCTTCAGTCTATAGTATCACTGTAGAGATACGAGAAGAGACTATTGAAGGAATCAGTTAAAGATTTAACTATTGCTAATGCACCCCGTTGCCTCTATTTCTGAGGACTCTATCTATGTTTGATTTATCTAAGCAATTAAAAATATTGTTCCAGAATCTTCCACAAATATTGTCCTGTCAAAAATATTTTAAAAAGTAAATTAGCAAAATATATTTTGTTAATTATATTAATATGTATCATGAAAATCTCAAGGATGATTTCATGTGGTACGTAGACATTGTTTTAAAGTGCAATGTTATAACATGAAAATAAAACAAATAACAATCGTTTGCAACTTTGGGATTCTAGCTCTAAATGTCAGCTTTCCATGTAGCTAAGAGTTGTTTTCTTTTAAAACAAAAATCACAGTTGAGGTGACATTGGTAAGTGCTGTAGGGCTTACAAGCTCCAATGGGAGATATCTCAGAAGATGAGGCCACTGACCTGGGGGTTTAAAGGTTGGGTAGAATTTTGACAACCATAGATGCAAGTCATTTTAAGTGAAAGGAATCACTTGAGCGGAACATAGAAAAAAACTCAGGCTATATATGGCCATAAGCGAATAGGTATTTTATAACTGGCTGTTGTAGCAACCATTTAAGTGTGCTCACTCATAACTGAATACAGCCTCTCCGCATCCACTGCTGCCTTTGCACCAAAGCCATGCTTCTTACTAACCATTTCTGGAGAGTGACTATGCATGGTGGAATTACTAATGCAGGCCCATTCTTTTAAGACGTGGGTCTTCCTGAACTGGAGACTTTGCCTCTAGGATGCCTGGCTGAACTTTTCTTGGAAGTGTGTTGCAGTCTGAGATTCTTCCTGCCCAATCCTCCTTCCTCCCATTTTGCCTTCATGGGAGTTAGTTCTAAAGTTTCTCCCCCACTTTCTCCTGCTCTCTTCCTCTCTGTCTTTCAGGAGTGTTTACTGTAATAAGTCTTAGGGACTCTTCTACTCAGTGAACCCAAACCTTCATAGCTGTTAAAATAAAAAGGCTGTAAAAAAGGCTGAAAGAAATATGTTTAGTACTAGGACATAAAGGCTTTGATAACCAATTGAAGTAAAAATTTTATGTGAGACTCAGGAATCGAGTCAGGAATTTTCACAAGAGGATGACATCATTAGAACTGAACTTTCATTCGTTTAACCTGGCTCCAGCCTTTAGGACCATTGCAGGGAATATGTGAGGAGACAAGTGATGATGCTGTTACAAACAAAAACAGAACTTTTCTGTTTAAATGAATGAATGAAGATGACAAAAATAATACAGATGGGAGACAAATCATAAAGATAGTATTAGTAGGGCCAAATCTAGATTTTATTTTTCAATATGACAGATAAATCAAATGAGAATATTTGTTAATTTTTTCCACAACAGAAATTGAGTTTAAGCTATTCTATTCAATCATTGGCAAAAACATTAAAAATTCAGTAGGTGTAATGTTAATGTCTAGGCAATTGTCCTACTTGAAGATTATTCTCTACTGTATTCTAACAGGGTTCTGTTGACATACACAGGATTCCGTGTATACCAATATTAGCATCTTGACATTCCATGTTCATTTTCCATAATGGCATAGAAATAATTGAAAAAAAAAATTTTGAGACCAGTCTTGCTTTGTCACCCAGGCTGGAGTACAGTGGTGCAATCACAGTTCACTGCATCCTTGACCTCCCAGGCTCAGGTGATCTTCCCACTTCAGCCTCCCAGGTAGCTGGGACTAGAGGCGTGTTCCACCATGCCTGGCTAATTTTTTTTTTTGTTTTTAGTAGAGATGGGGGTGTACCTTTGTTGCCCAGGATGGTCTCGAACTCCTGGGCTCAAGCAATCCACCTGCCTCAGCCTCCCAAAATGCTAGGATTACAGGTGTGAGTCATTGCACCCAGCCAAAAATTAATATTCTGAATGTACTTCAGTAGGAGCTACCCTTTAAGAAATGATAGGATTATTAATAAAATTAATGAGACTCAATATAATTTTCAGGACAGCCAACTCTCTGAGAGTTGTAGTAATTATTCTCAAAAATATATTATCACATATTGATGTTATTCAGGGATGTTAAAAATGTAAAGTCCCAAATACATGAAATGCAGCTATACTTCTTTTCTCATTTGTTTACAATTTAATAAGGGACAAGGACATATCCTTTTTGTATATACAAATATCCGAACTTACCATAACACCTACCAAACATTTGAAGCTCAATAAATTTTGGCAAATAAATGCACAAAGTTTGTGTCATATGAAAATTGTTATTATTATACATCTTCCAAATTTTAATATTTTACTTTCCAACTGGATTGTAAGCTTTTTAAGAACAGGGCCTGTGTTTTACACTGTGCACTCCCCATAGCACCTAATAGACTTTCCTAACTCCAATTCATTCTTCATATTGCCACTAGAAAAAAAAATCATCCTAATACAAATGCCATCAGGCACCTTCCTGCTCATATCCATGTTTAACATTCTCTCTGTTGCACAATGGCTTTTCTTTTTATCCTGGCCTTACACCATTGTTCGAGTCTTATTTTTGTTACATTTCTAAATCCTTTATCATTTGGTGTATTTTGCTATTACCCGAATGTTCCCTGAATTTTAACACTCTGAACCTCAGCTTATCTGATGAAATTCCACTGTTCTTTCAGATCTGACTCAAATGGGAAGTTTTCTGTAAGGTTCTCTATTGTTTTAGTAAGATTTTCTTCTTCCTGCATCTATGACCCTGCAATACTTTGCTTACTTGAATCCTTATTATGAGATGTTACAGACTGAAATGATTTGGATATTTATGTCCTCCAAATCTTATGTTGAAATGTGATTCCCAATGTTGGAGGTGGAGCCTGGTGGGAAGTGATTGGGTCATGGGGGTGGATCCCTCATGGGCTTAGAGTCATCCTCTTGGTTATGAGTGAGTTCTAGCTCCTTGAGTTCACAAGAGATCTGTTTGTTTAAAATATTGTGGCACCTCCCATTTCTCTCTCTTGATCCCACTCTTGCCACGTGATACACCAGCTTCTGCTTTGGGATGAAGGAAAAGAGGAAGCTGGTGTATCACGTGACAAGAGCTTCCTGAGGCTTCACTAAAAGGTTTGTGGATGCCAGCATCATGCTTCCTGTACAGCCTGCAGAACCATGAGCCAATTAAACATCTTCTCTTTATAGATTACCCAGTCTCTGGTATTTCTTTATAGCAGTTCAAAAGTGAAATAACACACAGGAACATTGCACAATTTGTAAACATATGGTATTAAAATATTACTTATGTAGTAACATTATACAAGCTTCTACTTTATATTTGTTATATATTTCAAATATGATAGATCTGAATTAGTAGAGATATTATTTTAATGTAACTAATACATCTTTATATTTGAATTCATCTCCAAAGTAATTTTAAAAAAAAAGCACTGCAGAAAAAAGTTAATTACGTAATGCATTTCACGTTAAAAAGTCATTCAACAAGATTATCTTGCCTCAGTCAGATGTACAGCCCATTGCTTACCCTTTTATTGTATTTCAATAATTGCTAAATTAGATAAAATTGAGGAAATTACTCTGCATTTATAGTAAATAAAATGAAACATGTGGGTAGTGGAAAAATCATACGTTTTGAAAGCTGGCTGTTTGCATTCAGCCTAATCACTTATTAGCTGTGGGATTTTGTGAAAATTTCTTAATCTTTTTGATTCTCGCTGTGTGAATCTTGTTCCCTGAGAGTATTTTGTCCCAGGGGCCTCACTGTTTTTCCTTGCCATTGGGCCGTTAGTGGAATTTATTTAGTTTGCCTCAGTGTATTCCCCTTACTTCAGATCTGGATGATTTCCATCCCTTCACTTCAAAAGGAACCTGAGCCACATAAGTAAGTTGACCCCCACCCTTCCCAGGAAGCATCTTTCACCAAATGAGGCAGTTGTTAATAGTCTTTGTCACACCCTTACTCCAAGACCATAATATCTACATATGTTGAGGTTGGATAACTCTGTGGCAGTTATTGATAATTTATGTAGCCATACCTGATACAGAAAGGGATAATACTAGTGCAAAATATTGGGGGATAAAATGGAATGAGTTTGAAGACTTCTATATATTTTAATATTAGATTTTGTGACTAAAATGAATTTCTGATCAATATTTTATTGATTCTTTAAATTCTTTATGGTCATCATTAACAAAAAACTTTGCCCTCCAATAGTAGCAATTTGCAGAAACTACTTTTTTGTTATGAACCAGACTCTGACAATTAATTTGTTTAAATTGAGCTTTTAAAACTTGCTGTATATATAAACACCAAAGTAATAATCACTAAATTCAGAAAGATTTTAGTAGAAAAGAAATGTGAAAAATTAGAAAAATAGAAAACTTAAGATTCAATATGCTAAATTAACATGGTAAATTAAGTAACTAAATTAAGAATCAAACTATCTGGGATGATTCAACAGGATTGTTAGCTGAGGATTCCATGATGTGGCCTCTGTGGTGTTCTCCAGCAGTTTGTATAAATCCCTATTGACAGAAACAATTATAACTAAATGTATTAAATATCAGAGAACCATGAAAATAATTCAAAGATAATCCACATGTGAACAGTTAGTTAATAAACCCCCTTTGTCCTGCACTGGCTAGGAATCTTTAGCAAAGACAAAAGTGTCACTAAGGTTATCCTTTGCAAATATCATCAACTTTTTTTGTAATTAAACAGAAACAAACAAACAAAAAAAACTCCAGTTATTAGGCAAAGTATCTGGCAAAGTATTTTCTTGGTATTCAGTTAATTCTTGTCCTGCTTTGGTCAGCATTTTTTATAAACCAGTCAGTCTCTTCATTAGAATTCTGAGAAATTTTACCCAGTCCAAGCGATATGATCCTAAATCTTTTAGAAACCTACATTCAAGAATACTTATCAGAGTCCTTTTTTATCATTTCCGTGAACCTCCTTGAAGACACAAAACTTTAGGATTTTACTCACTTGTAAGTAACTTACAGAAATGCATAAGAATATGAACAAGACCACATATGGTCATTGTTAAAGATGCAATTAACAAGACAATTTCATTATTTCTGTGGCCAAAATAATTTAACATAATAATCAAAATTTTGACTGATAAAATATATCAAGACATATTCAAATTTTAGGAACCTTGTAAAATTTTGGAACACATATTAATAATATATCCATAAAAATTTAACTCAAAGGTTAAGCATCATGTATTATTTGACAGTAGTCCCCATATAACTTAATATGTCAGATATGAATGTTTATTATTTCTATTTTGGATGCTTCAGTGGCCCTCTGGGGCAACCCAAATGAAGTTAGTTTGAAGTCAGGAAGACTTAATTTTAGAATTTGAAATTTGATTTGGGGATGGCTGTCAAATAGGTTAAAGGTTTAAAGTACTTAATCAAATAAGATCACATGTTGGCCTGGCAGTGGCTTACGCCTGTAATCCCAGCACTTTGGGAGGCCGAGGCCAGAGGATCACCTGAGGTCAGGAGTTTAAGACCAGCCTGGCCAAACCCCATGGTGAAATCTCGTCCCTACTAAAAATGCAAAAAATTAGCTTGGCGTGGTGGCAGGTGCCTGTAATCCCAGCTACTCAGGAGGCTGAGGCAGGAGAATCTCCTGAACTCAGGAGGCAGAGGTTGCAGTCAGCCAAGATTGTGCCACTGCACTGCAGCCTGAGTAACAAGAGCGAAACTCCATCTCAAAAAAAAAAAAAAAAAAAAAAAAAATCACAGGCCATTGCAATAACTATCATTCATTTAGCTAAAGTGGTAATAAAAGGTTTTTTAAAAGTAAAAACCTTTATTTTCTGATGGAGATATTTAGTTTTTCAAACCATCAAACGATCAAAAAATCTGAGATAGCATGAAACAATCCATCTCTTCTCTCTCCTTTCTTTTTTGGAGTTTACTCAAAAGGTGAACAAAAATCTTTCACTATCTCTTATTAATGATGATATACTAAATTCTTGTTCAAAAGATAAACCAATTTTTACTTTTATATTAGTGTATTATCAATACAAAAGCTAATTTTAATAATCCTATAAACCAATTCATTTAATCCTGGTCAGCTTTTGACCACACAAGATAAGATTTCCGTAAACCTTTTATAAGTTCTTATAATTTTTTTCTGTTTTCCTCAACTTTTTAGATCCATTTTGTTTTATCTGTACCATTTTTTCCTTCATTTTGAAACAACATTTAAATAATCTCTAAACCAGACAAAATGACTTTTTCTTACACAAAAATCACATCTTCATGCCTTTTAAAATAAACTTTTTCACTAAAGCCACATCTTTCTTTATAAAGTCTGTATATAGAATTGTCATATCTAGTAGTTTTAATTACATATATTAAGTATAATTTTCACTGTTAGTAATCCTAATTTCCAGTGAAAAATTTAGGAAGTAATTTTGAACTGTTTTATAAGAGCATTTATAGAAAAGAACCATCTCGTAATTTTTTAAGAAAGCTATTTCCTCAATTTTTTTGTTTACTGACAGATCTAATTATATTTAGCTTTTCCATAGCATATAAAAATAAGATGACTGAGTACATAATAAACCTAAACTATGTTTAATAATTAATGTTTCCGTATTTTTATTTACCTAGAAAATACTCATTTTATGATTATTAATTAAATATAACATGACTTAAATAATTTAAATTGCTGAAAATAAGTTTGAAACGATGACACAGGTACCCTCCCTAATGTTCCCCCCAGGGTGTTCTGGGTCCCAAGAGCTTACATGGCACCCATGGATGGAAATTAAGGGCAGGGATTGTCTATGTCCAGAATTTACATACCAGGTGTAGAACTCAGGAAAGAGAACACCTCCCAGCAGGGAGGCAAATCTGGGCCGAGGAAGATGGGTCTATATTAAGATTCACTCTGCCTTGTAGCTGTTGACCAAGGCACAGAGTACATGTTCTCAAGCCTCACCATGGCCACCTGTCCAGACCTCAGAATCTAGAGACTCAAAACTAAAGACGTAAGCTCACAGTAAGATGTGTGCAAGGCTCTGGGGGTGCCCAGCAGCCATCTTTGACAGCATTAGCTCATGAACAAATCAAGCAGGTATCAAAAATATTACAGAACCAATAGTTTTATAACCTAAGAACATGTAGCAGAGACTGCATAAACCTGTCTAACCAGAAGACACAGGCAAAAATGTCTAAATTATATTTAATAATGATAATTTGGAGACATTTCTGTTTTATTTTACCAATTTTACAGTTAGCTTTATTTACTAAACATTATCTTAGATCACATAGAAATATTACATATACATAACATAAAGACATATAGACAGAGACAAAGTAGATCTTATAAGTTTCATTAAGATTTTTTATTTGCCAGCTTACAGATAGTCTGAATGTGGAAAAGAAAACTATCCATCTTCTAGTTACCTGCTTCATTGCTCTACTCAATTGTTAGGTAGGCAACCTTAAATTCGCATTTCTACAGGGATGACTTTTAGGTGAAATAAGATAGAAAATTTATATCTCAAAACCTCAGAGCTGAGACTTCATGCCTAAATATTGTATCGTCATTTGCCCAAACCAAAGAAAAAGACCATAGGCAAAGGCCCAGTTAAGACAAGATTGCCAGGCAAAGCACCTGAAACAAAGGTAAGACTGGTTAGGCAAACTTAACAAATTGTCATTAATTGTTATTAAACTTAAAACAATAGTAAGAGTTTCTAGTGACTCAAACCCTCCTCTCTTCCAGTGTACATAGGCAAAAAGACACCCTCACGAATGGAGGTTTTCTTTAAACCTCTTCTTTTACAAAAGGTTTTTAAATAGTCTGGTAAATGTCAAAAACGTAAATTTTGAATACCAATTTAGTTCAATAATCAGACTTTTTAACTTAGTTTCTGATCCTTAGCTAAAACTACTACATTCAGTGCTAAGCCTATTAAGGAGTAAGACAAAGAAAGCATACTCTCTGCCTAGACTCAGTATGGATAACTGAAAAAGAAACCAGGGATTGAGAGCCTCAGCTGAGGACCTACCTTTTGTAAACACCTTATCCAGAATTATTTTCATCTTTGGGGCAGGATAGTAACTAAACCAAAAGGTTAGGATATTTTATTATTATTATTATTATTATTTTGAGACGGAATTTCACTCGTTTTGCCCAGGCTGGAGTGCAAGAGCATGATCTCAGCTCACTGCAACCTCGGCCTCCCAGTTTCAAGCGATTCTCCTGCCTCAGCCTCCTGAGTAGCTGGGATCACAGGCATGTACCACCACACCCGGCTAATTTTTTATTTTTAGTAGAGACAGGGTTTCATCATATTTCCCAGGCTGGTCTCGATCTCCTGACCTCAGGTGATCCACCTGTCTCAGACTCCCAAACTGCTGGGATTACAGGCATAAGCAACTGTGCCCTGCCACAAGATTTAAATTTTATCATCAATTAGTCACTTAAGCAGTTTATCTGCTTTTTATAAAGACTTTTTTCAGGAGGCAATACAAATACTGAAATATTTTTAGATGTTTCTGCACATCAATAAGCATCCCTGGATGAGCCTAAGGGGGGAGTCCTCAATTTTAAATGCACTTTTTAAAATACAATATAGTTTATTTTGAATGTCCCACTGTAATTTTAAATTATCTTTAGTAAGATTTTACCATTTTTCTGATTGCTGCTTCTGGGGCCTAATTCTGGGAGCTTTGGAATCAGAGAGAAAGTTTACCCACAACAGAATCTCCCATTGTTGCCAGAGAGCAATGAACAAAATGGGCCCAGTTGACAACTCACTTGGTCACTCAATGCTCCTGGGAGTTGCCAGGAAAAGCTTAACTTTAAATCCCACTTCTGGCACCATCTGTTAAAAGAAAACCTTAAGACAAATTAAATTTGAAAATGTTTAATTGAACAGAGAACAATATAAGAATCTGGCAGCATAATGAACCAGAATAGTTTCAGAGTGACTCCGGGGCTGCCACATGGTCAGATAATATTTGTAGACAGAAAGGAAAATGATGCACAGAAAACAGAAATTGAGATGCAGAAATAGCTGGATTGGTTACAGGTCAGCATTTACTTTATTTGAACACAGTTTGAACAGTTGGCTGCCTGTGGTTGGCTGAAACTCTATTTATTAATACAAAAATAGGCTACAGCCTGTTTACACCTCCAGTTAGGTTACAGTTTACTAGGTATGATGGAACTTTAGGCTAAACTTGATGTAAGGAGGTGGATTTAGGTTAAACTTAGGCTAAATTTGATGTAAGGAGGCAGATTTGGGATAAACTTCATTTAACAGTATATATAAGGTTGGTGGACAATAATTAATTGAATACCAGGAAAATACTATGCCAGATTTTCATGCTACATCAGTCAGTACTGAAATTGTTAAGATATGCCCTTTGGATAAACTCCATGGTCCAAGTCAAATTACCAATGATAACGCATTTAATAAATGTGCTATGCACTTTAATTGGAGAAACAAAATTGGTCCTTGAAAGGATATAAGTCCAATGTTAAGTGTTGACTCATGGGGAGTCTCAATGGCTGCCTGGTTTTTCCTGAATCCTTGAAGCTTCCATTATTAAAAGTTCTGCACTCAATGACTCATCATGGAATAGATAAAATGATCCAAATTATATTAAAATATATGTTGATGAGTGACTGTTCTAAATTGCTAAGATGGTTTATGATCAATCTTTAGTTTGTCAAACCCATAATTGTTGAAAGATAATCACAACTTCAAGTATATTTCTATTACCATTTGATCGTTTAGACAGATTTCATTCAATTACCATTTCTCAATGCACCTTTTCTGGTTGTTTAGAAACTTTCCCATGCAAGAGGCCCAATGCTAACAGTAGCTAAAAGGTTATCAGAAAATACGTTTCCCTCATGGGGCATTTCTAAATAAATCTTCAGCAACAGAAGTACTTACTTCCCTAGACAAGTTGTAAAATCTGTAAATAAGGTATTACAGACACAATGGCATTAGGCAAAACTAACTGAATTAACTGAATTTTCTTGGTCAAAGGTATTGATGATTGATGACAATTAATCTACTTCCCATGGAAAACATAAACTGATCCTTTATGAGATAGCCATTGGAAGGCCTATCCCTAAAATTAGATCAGCTTCTCGACTCTGATATGACTAAGTGCTGCAAGGCTTTAAAGCATTATGCCAAAGTGTATTTTCACTAGGTAAAGGATGCTTTTCATGATTCACCAACTGAGGACAATCAAACTCTTCATGATCTAAAATCCATGTCTTCTGGAAACAATAGCAGATAAAGAGTGTCCTTGAGGTCCACACTGCAGGAAAACTTTAAAACTTTGAATCTTAGGCTCATAATCTCACAAATCAGAAGGGCTGCTCCAGACTCTTGGAACTGTGCACCCATTGAAGACCTTAAGGTAAAGCTAATCAGGGAAGTTTCTCCCCAGAAGCAGACAGCATCCTAGATTGACAGCTTTCCCAAGATCATAAGTTAAGATTTCTCTGCCATCATGAGACTCTTACCTCAATTTTTTCTTATGTCTCTATGAACAATAAAACTGGAAAAGGGGTCTTGTGTGCACCCATGGGGTATATCTTTATTTGTGGAGGATTTTGTTTCCAACCTTATACATGGGCAAAATTATGCTTTTGATTGATGGGAAATGAAGGGCCAATGTAGATAAGGAAGTTTAGTAGTAATTTTCTTGCTCCATAATCAGTCAGAAGCAGAACATTTGTCCACTCCTCTTAACCTACATCATAAGTTTAAGAGAAATTGCCAGGAAACATTTACTCTTCTGGATGGGCATCCTTTGTTAGGTTTCTTTTTCCATGATTTGGAATAAATGAGGCAAGAATTAGAATTGTGTCCCTCATAAAAAGTTCTATAGCAGATTCTACTGCAAAGGCCACGGTTGCACAACAGACTTCATTAAATTTTCTTACTAGAGTTGTGCTAGGTAACAGAATTGACCTAGATTACTTACTGGCTGAATAGAAAACAATCTGTGCAGTTGCTGACACTTCTTGCTGTACATGGATGACTAGTTTGGGTATTATAGAGACTCAGTTGCAGGAGGTTAATAAACTAGCTCCTAGATCTGGCTCATTCTTTGATCTATTTTAATTAGTTGGTTTGGTTCATGGAGACTTTTGCTAAGGAGCATCCTCTAAACTCTCGATATTATCTTCCTGATGGTCACAATAGTAGTGTCCCTGGTGCACTGTTTTCTCTCAAAAGTTGTTAATGTTTACATGTATGCATATGTAGAATATCAAATGCGCTCTCTTTGACTGAGATGACAAAAACTCAAATAAATGTGTGATCACGAGGACACTTTAACCTATGAATGATGTGCTGAGACCTGAAACCATAAATGATAGTAATTGGTAGTAGCACTAAAGCCCCGTTTTGGTCACACTCTCACCTAGGTGAGAACCTGACCAAAAATGTGGAATTATTAAACAAAATGATGGGAAGCCAATGTTCTGAAACTGAGCTCTTGCACTAGGCCCCCACAGACCAAATTAAAATGGAGTCACTAGTGCTAAATGCTTTGGAGTCAAACAGAAATGTTAAAGAAGATAGATCCCAAAACAGAGCAGTGTTTTATTTTTCTCCAGAAAACAGGAGATTCCAGCATAATAAGAAAGTCTCCTCTGTTGTAACCCTTACAAAAAAGTAACCTGAAGTAACCATTTTTTTTTCTATTGTTCTGTTTTCCTGTTTCCACCTTACAAAACGCTCTGCTCTATTGCCTAGTGGGATTTGATACCAAATAAGTCCACTTTCTATCATAACAGAATGACATCTATGCCTGAAGTTTTGATCAATCCCTCAAAATTGAGAGGTTGACAAAATGGGGGAAATCGTTGAATTAAATTTAGCCTGAAGCTGCTTCCGTGCATATTTTAAGTTTGCCCTAAAGATTTCTTTATTCATAGTGAACTGTATAAATCACAGAATTTCAGCCAATCACAGGTGATCAACTGTTAAAACCATGTTTAAATAAGGCAAATGTCCAGCTGTCACCAATCAAGTTGTTTCCATACACTGTTTTCTGTACATCACTTTCCTTTTTCTGTACATCACTTTCCTTTTTCTTTCCATAAATATTATTCAACCACATGGCAGAATTGCTCTGAATCTATTCTGGTTCGAAGGGAGGCCCAATTTTCAAATCATTCTTTATTCAATTAAACTCTTAAGGTTTTTGTCTTCAGTTTTATTGATTTGTACTCAGTAGAAGAGATATGACCTTATCTATAAATGAATAAAGTCCTAAATTCATAACATTTCTACTAAAAAATGGCACAAAGAAAAAATACTTTGCATCGCTATCATGAGTAAGTATGTAAGAGTTCCAAGAAACAAAAGATTTTGAAGCCAATGTAAGCCTTTGGGAGAAAGTCTTCTAGACACTTCCTGCTCAATGAGTGATCCTGGCACCAAGAACATCAGCATCATTTGGGAACATTTAGAAATGCAGAATACCTCTCAACACAGATCGACTCAATTCTATTCTGAATTTTAAGAAGATTCCAAGGTAATCACATGCACATTAAAAAAGTATCTATGTTCTTCAAAGAGGAAAACCTATACCCTAGAGGGTGCATAATGCAATCATTTGGGGTATGCAAATAAAATATTAGAAGTTACCTTTTCTCCTTTTCTCATGCTTTCATGTATATCTTTGCTTTTTTTTTTTTTTTTTTTTTTTTTTTTTTTTTTTTTTTTGAGACCAAGTCTCGCTTTGTCGCCCAGGCTGGAGTGCAGTGGCGCAATCTCAGCTCACTGCAGCCTCCACCTCCCAGGTTCAAGTGATTCTCCTGCCTTAAACTCCTGAGTACCTGGGATTGTAGGCATGTGCCACCATGCCTGGCTAATTATTATTTTTCGAGTAGAGATGGGATTTTGCCATGTTGGCCAGAATGGTCTTGAACTCCTGGTCTCAGATGATCCGCCCTCCTCAGCCTCCCAAAGTGCTGAGACTACAGGCATGAGCCACCGCACCTGGCCTATCTTTGCATGTTTTATAGTGATGGTAATCTTAGTTCATTAATACATTTATATACTTTATGAATAATATGAAACACATATTGATGTAAAAGCTCAAGATTTGTATACTAATAGATATCTTATACAAAATATTAAAGACCATGTCTCAGACCATCCTTTGCTTTGCTATCACATAAGAACATACTAATTTCAGGTAAGATAATGAGAGCTTGATTCAAACTTAAAATTGTTTTATAATGAGAGTCAATACTAGGTAATATTAAAAAGGAAAAACTCTTATCTTTAATTCCTACAATGTCCGTGTCACAATGTCCATGTCACAGAGACTGATAATTGGCCACCACACTTTCTCTCCTCCTTGTCCTATCCTAATAGAGCCACTAGTTTTTAGCTGGCTATATAGCCATACAGGAAGATAAAAGATAGAATTTTTAGTCTTTTACAGCTAGATAGAGTGATTTGACCAGAGCAGAGGTATACTTTGGAATGCTGTGCAATGGATAGAATTGAAGCAACCACCCAGGCAATGCTACCCTCCGATCTGTTGCTAAACAGAGAAGGAAGAAGCGAGAAGACCTCTGATGCTCTAAGGGCTTTCAGCTGAATGGTGGTTTTGCTCCACAGAGGCTCATCTCCTGACTTTACCACAGGGAAAAAATTGTTTCACCTAAGTTATTGCTATTTTGGATTTTACTCTTAGCCTCAGTTGACTAACAGATTCTAACAGATTCAGCTGGGGAAGAACATTAAACTTCTTTGCTTTTGTAGATGATACCGAAATCTTCAGCAATCTCTATTACATGTGCTAATTCTGCTTTGGAAAAAATCCTATATTCCAATCACATCTCAAAAGTGATACAAATAATCTGTAAACAGTAAACTGCCTCATGAATTTAACATTTCCTATATATGAATATTATTGACCATGAAATAAGATTTTAAATTTAGCTTGGAGGACACACACCATATGGAAAACAGCAATCAAATATAGGAGGAATTAACCCTCAAAGGTATAAGTTTTTCATAAACTACAAGAGTTGTTTTTCATTATTATACATTAGCTGTTTCAAATATGCAAATGTTGAGTTCCTGTATTTGTCTAAAGAAAGTAGGTTCTCTCTCTCTGTATGTGCATATAATATGGAAAATAGAGTACAAAATGCATTTCATATATTTTTGAACTTCCAATTTTTAAGTTTATTTTATGTCACCTAATTTTTATATATATATACATATATATATATATTTAGAGTGCTTGACTCTGTTTATAACTAAATGAGCAAAAAATAATAATGATACTTCAGTTACTTCAGAAATATGAATGGAAAAGAAGGTGGGAGAGAAAAGGCAGTATGTATAAATATCCTTTGTCTTGTCAAGGAGGAAATTCTGGAAAATATCCCCAGTAGATTTTCCCATATTTCATTGCCCAAAGCTCAGTCACAAGTCTATCTTTAGGCTACTGACTGGAAAATGGATTAGATTCTCTTAATGATATTTTTGGGTTGTCATAGTGCATCAGGTAAAAATGGGGTTATTGTAGAAAAGATAAAACGAGGTAGCTAGCTGTAGATAGGCAACAAGCAGTGTCTGGCCTAAAGATTGCAAACCTGGACAAGCCTGACTGGAATAAAACAGTTATTGATAGTAGCAATGTTAGTACAAACTAATTTTATGGAAAGTAATTAATATACTTTTACATATTTGGTTATCTTCTATAAACTGACAATGAACAGCATAGACAATTTTGGTATACATTACCCATATCAAAGTAGCAATTGGTATTTTTCTAGAGTTTTTCTCCCTACTTCAGAAAAGAAACGAAAAAGATACTAGGTGTAGATATATCCTACTTTAACTTAATTATTGCTATATTTATTAACTGCTTAATTACTAAAAATAGTTGGAAATAAAAGACAGATATATTAGCGTGACTTTTTGTTTCAGGCCAAACTAGAATTATTTGCTTAAAGCAAAATATATTTTAACTGATGTAAAAATTCAAAAAAAATTAAAAACATGTACATAAATTTTGAGTAACAGAAGGATCATTAGGAAAAACCTAAGTTTGTTATACAGAACTTGCACACTAACAAATTTTACACTTTCACAAATAAAAACTCTTTTTTAGCAACCTCTCTTCTCTTTTAAGAAATATCAGTTATCCAGGCATGGTAACTCATGCCTGTAATCCCAGCACTTTCGGAGGCTGAGGTGGGAGAATGGCTTGAGGCCAGGAGTTTGAGACCAGCCTGGGTAACATACCGAGAACCTGTTCCTACAAAAATAAAACTTTTAAAAACAGTAAATATCGGTCTATACTAATATAATCACTATATCCAATCCTTAAATTAAAATTAATTTTGCAGAATTTTAATAGATTGATCACCCATATGATGATAACATCAATAGATTATATTTCTAGAATACCTTTGAGAGCTTGTTCTTTCCTTTCGTTTTCTCAGTATTTTGTCTTAATTAATTCTGACATCATATTCTTCAGTAGGCTTCTAATTCAATTTACTACCTCCATATCCATGATCTTCAATGATTCTTGATGTGTCTATCAGATTAGTCTTCTAGTGGCATAGACTACTGCTGCTCAAAAACTTCAAAGATCTTCCACTGTCCAGAAAATACTAAAGAGAAAATCTCATAATATGATGTAATATTTTAATCAATATCTGGCCTCAAACTTTTTTCAAATTATATCAAAGATAATTTGTAAAGTACTATATTTACAAAATATCTAAATTAGTAAAATACATTTGTTTGTATGTTTCATCTATGTTCCATACATCATATTTCACATGATATTTCTTATGTTGCACTCTGTGCTGAGAAAGATCTTCTCCTGTGGTAATACCTAAATATTAGCCATCATTCAAATACCTACCCAAATATCCATAGATCAAGCTTTCTTTAGCTTACCAAGCTGCAAAGAATGCAACCATGGTTTGATAATTTTTTGTAAAACTTGCATTTTTTCTAGATTGTATTAAAAGAATTTAGAGTATGGAGTATGTGTCTTCTAAGAGACTACAGAATCTGTGAAATATATTTTTTTAAATATCTGAAATTATTACATTACACAAAGCTTCTACAGCTGTGATTTGGACCTAGTGGACATTCAATTAATGCATGTCCACTAGAGGTATGAGTGAACAAAGCATGGAGGAATAAAGGAAGAATGAAAGAATTGACTAATCAGGGAAACTTAAGCCTAGAATACCAAATTAATCTTCTTTACTGTTTTCAAATGATGTATGTAATGTTAAAGATGTGGAAAGGGTTGTACAATAGTTTGAAAGAAAATTAAAAGATAAAACATTGAGAAAATTTTCTCTATGAAAAAATTATACTGATTCTGCATTGTATTTAATTTACTTTTGATTATATTTAAATCTCTTATACATTGATGTTGAGCAGATATGAATAAAAACCTAGTAATTATTAATAACTTCATTAGTTAATACACTGTTTATGTTTTTATAGATTACTAGTTATTTCTTGACTGAATTGAGATTTTTTGATTTTATTCTAGATCCTACTCACTAAAAGCAAAAATAATGCTTGAAATTTAGGTGCTTACAGAAATTGAACAAGTGTGGTTCTTATCTTTACATGGAACTAACATTCTTTTTAATGTTTCGATTTATGATTTTATACCATCAATGATATTTTACTTTCATGTAATGCAGTTTTTATACAAGCTAGCAATATTTAGGAATTCATGGAAAGTTAAATAAAAATGAATATGACTAAGTCTCATTCTAGAAGCTAATAGGATAAATGTGAAAAATTGCTTAACTAATTATTATCTACAATTATCTGTACTATAACATACCCACTATGTACCAGGAGTACAGAGGAAAGAATCACTGTCATTGCACAGGGTTGTAAGTCAAGGAAGACTTTAGCAAGGAAATGACATTAGGCCCAACTGCTAAGGTTTGAAAAAGATTTTTTCTCTAGGCAGGGACTAAAAGAAGGGTGAGTCTGGGTAGAGGCAACAGCTTTTACAAAGTAGGTTATAAAACTGCTTTGTGATGTTTCCAGCTTGGTAAAATATTTCATGTTCTAAATCTCAGTGTATAATAGTATAGGGGAGTGGCAGAGTTTAGGATAGCATAAAAGGCAAAGGAAAAATACTGATGACAGTGACAGGAGACAGACAAATTCCTAGGCAGACAGGGATGGGTCCCTGGTGAAACCCAACCTTCAAGCCAGTGACAGCCAGAAGCCTGAAAACTGGGCTGCTGGTTCTAGTTAGAGTCTGTGACTGGAGTGAGAACATCTATTCCTGTTTGCCACTCTTTCCAGATTGTATTTTTCTGAAAAATACTTTTTAGCTAATGAAATGCTGCCTTTTCCAAGGCTACCTGCAGCCTGTGCCTCCTCATTCCAAACATATAAAAGCCCAGGACTCAGCCACACACACAGCTACCCTCTTTGGGCCCCCTTTCACAGAAAAGAGGGCTGCCCACTTCAGGTCTCCTTTTGTTGTTGAGAGCTATTCTGTCACTCAGTAAAATTCTTCCCTGCCTTGCTCACTCTCCGGTATTCACGTACCCTCATTCTTCTTGGTCATGGGACAAGAACCCAGAACCTGCTGAATGGCAGGAATGAAAAGGGGTGAAACACATTCTTAGCTGGCTTGCCAAGCTGTGGGCGGTGACATGCTCCTGTTTGCCAGACTATGGGAGTGAACAGTGGTGACCCTTCTGGGTCCCCAGACCCCAGACCTCCCTGAGCCAGAGCTGTGACATGCCCTTGTTCACTGGACTGTGAACAGTGGGAATGAGATAGAATTTTCAAACTTCTTGGGGGCTTAGAACTTGGGACTCCTCAGGAGAGAGCTATAACACCCCCTTGGGACTCCATGATGGCTGGAGTCTCTGAGTTTTTAGGCACCACTGCATTCCCCTCAGCCAGATGCCAGCACCCAAGGTGAAAGCCAGTCTTGGCATGCCTGGTCCAGATGTGGGCAAAGCCCAGAACCCAAGGTGATCACAGAATCTGGGCCAGGGAGCAAGCCAAGTGCAGCCTGCTGGCCCGAGTGGGCAGAGTGAGCTGAGCAGGCATGAACAAAACTCATGCAGAAGCTTTGCTGGCCACGGAGGTTTCTGGCTTGTGAAGTGGAACCAAAACTATCCTACGTCATTGACAAGCTGTGAATGCATTGTTAAGGAGTTTATAGTTTCTGGACAGGTAAACAATGTTTTAAGACATTAATTTTGTCTTTATGTATTTTTTAAATTTTTTTGTTGAAAAATGAAGTCTTACTATGTTGCTTAGTCTGGTCTTGGGCTCCTGGCCTCAGGCAATCCTCCTGCCTTGGCCTCCCAAAGTGCTAACATTACAGGTGTGAGCCACTGTCCTAAGACATTAATCTTTCTATTGTGGAAATGAACTGAATGAGAGAGATGGAAGTCTAAAGTAATAAATATCTCTGCTCTACAATAGAATAATAAATAAGATCCTAATCATTCTATTTATTACTACTATTATTTTTGACATGGAGTCTCACTCTGTTGCCCAGACTGGAATGTAGTGGCACGAGCTGGGCTCACTGCAACCTCCGCCTCCTGGGTTCAAACAATTCTGCCTCAGCCTCCCAAGTAGCTGGGATTACAGGCACACACCACCATGCCCAGCTAAGTTTTTGTAGTTTTAGTAGATGCTAGTCTATTTCTTGTTTATATATCACAAGTATGAATGGCATAAGCAAATGTGAAAGATACTACCTTTAGAGTGTTCTTTGGGAGCTGTGATCTGCTAATTTCACTACTGTAATATGTGGTCAAGACAATGCTGTTCTGCTGCCATATATACTTTTGGGCTTTACCAACCTTTTCTTCTCTGCCTGATAAGTCTTCAAATCAAGACTTTTCCAACTAATCACTGCTATCTTCACCTTAATCTGAGTTTACTACCTCTTCCATGCCTTGCAGACTTTTGTTCTGTGTTGCCTGTTCTCTCTCTACAACCCATTGTCTAACACCATGTGCCTTTAGCAACTTTCAAAAAAAAAAAAAAAACATGCTCTTCTTCTTTGGCATCTTATAATAATGGCAACTTTTTCATCTATTATATTTAAAGTTGGCTTAAGCAATAAGAATCAACTGCCACAACTAACTTTTAATGAGCTACTTTATCTCCTCATTTTAAATTTTTTAGAGGGATGCTGAAAGGTTGATATGCCTCTATAAATTTCTAGATGTAAGGGCCAAGGTTAGAAATTTCATCCATAGAAGCTTCAACTAAGGTCTCTTGTCTGTCATTTCATGCTTTCCTTACACTTCTAGCAGCAATTGACCTTTGTTAGCATAGATTCACTTTAGCCGCTTCTAGTAAGAAGTAGTTATGAAAGTCTAACTTGAGAAACAGATATTCTTTTTTCCTTTACTGCCAAGAGATACTAACGGTGAAGATATGTGGGTGCATAGTTTTTAGATTTGGGGGCTTCTTCATTGATCAGATTGAATTGT